>NC_000007.14:147185652-147337167 GCF_000001405.40 Homo sapiens | reverse complement strand
AAAATTGCTTCACTGAAATTGTTGTGTAAATATTTTATCACTCTTGACTTATGCAAGTGGACTGATGTGGGTGCATGATATTGGTAAATTTTATAAAAATAAAAGTTTTAATATTTTCTTACCATTTCCCTAATTGATAATCTTCCCTATCTCCTGCAGTATATAGAGGACATTTTGGTTAAAAAAATTTAAGCTGGTGGGGGACATAACTTGGCTGATAACACTAGACATGGCCCTTAATTATAAAATTCTGCCAATGTCCCTTTGGAATTGAGAGGGAATTTCCATGGTTGGTATCATAAAATGCCAGTGAAATTTTCCATAGAGTTCTAGAGAATTGTAGGTGGCTATGAAAAACAGTACCATGGTCTTACACTTTAAAAATCAAGAGATAATCAATAGTTGGGTCCTAGCATTGAGGGAGCAGAGACTCAGAGGTGAACAGTGGAAAGAGGACTGAACTAGATATTTAATGTCCTGGACTCTAATCATATCTCTGCCACTAACTAGTTCTATAATTTTAGCAAGATTTCATCTCCCCAAACCTTCATGTTCTTACCAATCCTAGAAGGATTCCAAGATCTCTTCCACCTACGATTTTCATCAGTAGATGATGGTAAATAATTTCTCTTGACTATTATCACCCATATGCTAAAAGAGTGAGAGACTTCAATAAATTAAACCAAACCCCAAGTGTCTTAAGGTCTTATGAAGAATAGGACTATTGGGATTGTTTTCTGTTTAATTTCACTTGCATATAGCTGTGCTTAAACTCCTGTTGAAAGGCTTTTCTTGTGCTGAGCATGGTGCTGCTTCCACGTAAGCTACAAATACAAAAGAAATCAAGCAGCAAAACTCTAAGGTTGGAAAATGTGACCTCTGTGAACATTCCTAAAAACAACAATGGCAACAACAACAGCAAACCTCTCAGGTTCTTGATTGTAAATAATCTCTAATAAAATTATCATAATACTATTAAAATCACCTAGTATTCAAGAGCTAGCATATCTGTCTTCTGAAATATGTTCTTTTTACTCCACAAATGAAGGTCATATAAGATAAACTGAATTTTGTCCTAATTCTCAACACTTCTATATTCTCTTTGACTCTACCTAATACAAGCTGAAAATTTGAGAAAAACAATACACAGTCAGATTCTCTCTGCAACAAAATACTTAATTGCTTAGTCCATCTCACTCATCCACACTGCAGCCATCTTACACTGCTGTTTGTTCTTTATTTCCTTCCTTTCTGATTAGTATAATATGATACAGCTGCTAAATTTTATTTTTTTTCACATCACATTTGTACAGCAATGACCTTCAGATATTAAATGTTAAGTTGCCTGTTGGGAATAATAAGGCTAAATTTAAAAATAAAAGAGTACAGTAATCCATGCTGTGAAATCTAAAATATTATGACACAATAGAGAGGATGGGTTTGATTTCTAAGAAAAATAAGTATCACGAAGAAAAATGTTACCCTCTGCTAAATAAATAATTTATTTCTCTTTTCATTTGGTGGCTTTGATCGCAAGATTTCCTCCGTCTCTGTTTCTCTTTAAATGCTCAGATTAAAGCCTCCCATTGCTATTCTTTTGTTCAATCATTTATTTTCTTTGGGGGCTCAAGAACTCCTGATGATTTTGTTTTCTCTATGATAGTGGATTCTTTTTTACTTCCATGCTGGAAGCCAGAAAATTAAACCTTTGCAATCTCAACGAAGCACCTAATTAGTAGCTTACTAAAAATGAAATAAGTTAATTATGTGTAATTTCTTCATAAAGATCAAATGACAGGCAAATCACCTTCCTGAGGCTATTCTCTTTATTTGCAGCAAAAATGAGAAAAACAGAAACCAAATAAAGTTTTTCTAGTGCTGACAGCACCACAGTAAAATAATAAATTTCTAGGTTATTCTATTAGAAGCATTAACTCAGCATGAGTCCTTGCTTGTATATTAGATTTAAGACAGTATCCTACCATAGAACAAGAGTTGATGAATATACTCACAATCCAATTCACTAAAATGCATGCTGCCTCTCAAACTAGGTAAATTTAATATAAACTGAATACCTACTAAGTACAAGGTAATATGAATTCCTGCCACTTACTGGTTCTGTAGGCCTTGGCAAGCCACTTAAACTCTCTGAGCTTCAATTTCCTCATCTGCAGAATAGGGATAATAGCATGTGGTACTCTGTGAGATTATTGTGAAAATAAAATGAGTGTTTGGATAACAAACGCTGAAGAAACATTCTTTTATTAAATAAGACCCACAGTAAGGGAGGTAGACATATGTAATGAGAATATCCCTATATGTATCTTTGTTTACCAACACTAACCTGGGAGAGAAAAACTAGCCCTTCCCTCGTTTTCACACACGAACATGCTTATTCATGGTATGCATGTTATTCAGTTAGATTTGCTAGACAGCTAGGGGTGACAGTAAGGGAGTCACACTGCAGAGAGGGTTATCTACTCTCAATCTCACTGGCTCCTTCTCAGCTTCCGTGCTCTGCTATTCCTTTCCTCTAGAATTACCTTCTTGATCTCCAAATTGTGCAGATCAGTTCACTTCTAGTCTTGTCTCCAAAAGAACATAACCAAACCCACTGAGATTTTTCAGAAGAAAAGGCCAACTGTATAACAATTTCTATCTTCTATGGAATGCATTTATGGTTATAAGTGCCTGTTACTCCATTATTGTTGTTATTAGAGATGATAATAAGAGCCAGAATGCTTCCCTAAGAAATAAATGGCAAGGGAAGAACTACAGTCAACAGTTATTGGTTATTTTTCCAATAATTTCACCCACTAAGTGAAGAAAGAGACAAGCAATTCCTGTGAAGAAAAGGCAAAGTCAAGGGATGATTGGGGTTTTATTTGGTATTTGCATATTTGTGAAGTTAAGGAAATCAGAGCCCATTAAAAGTTGAAGAGGAAGGAGGAGGCAGATAGAATAACTACAAAAGATGGATTGATGTACCAAAGGGGAGAATAGAAGTGTTGGATTAAGACATTAGCTTTGAGAGGACCAGAGTTAGACACATCTTCCTTTGGGATGGCAGTCAAGATGGGAGTAGGACTGAAAAATGCAGAGATTCTAGCAGGAAACTGAGTTCAAGGAATTCAAGCACATGAGCCCTTGAAAGATTTTCATGGCTTTGGCATACAGAAAACAATTGTGTCTCATCATGGATCCAAGTCTGCTTTGATGTGAAGGGCCCTGTTTTACCTCTTCCATCTTAGCCACACATCCCTGGACCGATGACTTGGGTCCTAAATATTGTTACCTGTGCCTAACAGTTATGCCTATACTCTAGTCCATGACTGCCTGTATTTTTACTATTTTCTATTTGCTAAAAATCACCAGCATTTTCCATTACTTATGGCATTATTTATGTGATTAACAAGCACATATTTGTACAGAGGTCTCTAAGTAGGTAATAAAGAAGAACTAGGATAAATCTATTAACCAATTGTTTTGAAAAAATATATAGGATTATTAAAAATATGAAAACTTCCCAATGTACTTATTTCTAGGTCAATTATATTTACTTAGTCATCTCTCCAAAGTGAACAAGTATGATATTTCAAAAATTTAAGTAAAATTTACTACTATCTTCAATAGTGGTTTGGTTCTTTTATTATAGAAAGTTGTTTAAAAGGATTCATTTTCTGTATGCAGCTCTCAAGCAAATTCAGATTCTGTAGCTGTTAGCATTCAATGACAATATACTAAGTTTTTATTTTATTTTTGTCTATTTTATGATTTTAATGCTTACTTATTATGCCTAAAGTGCCTTTCATTTAGCCTTACCATGGATCAATGGAAATAAATATAAAAATGTGAATGTGTTAGATAAGAATCAGAACGCCGAGAGTTCTCACCATCAAGTTTTGCCTTTTATCAGTATTCTCTCTGTAGTCATCACTATGCCTTCTGTTTTCTCTGGAACAGGAACTTTATGTGGCAGTCAGTCAACAAGTTCCATCTGTCTTGGCTTGTGCTACCACTTCCTTCTTCTCTTTTCACTTCCTAGATCAGTTTCCCAATGTGTGTTCTGGGGAGCACTATGGCCTCAAGACAGTCCAAAAAGGGTCAAATAAATTTGAGAAACTGTGTCCCTTGCACATTCACATTTAATGTATCCCTTGTATATTAAAGACTGTGCAGGAGGCCCTGCTTCATGAAAATTGCATGTTTTTAAGCCAGTGTTTTCCAAATCTGTTTATGAAAAATCCACCTATATAAATAAATAGAAACCAACCCACATTGATAATTATGATGATTATTATTTTTTGAGGTGGAGTCTCATTCTGTCATCCAGGATGGAGCGCAGTGGCATGATTTCGGCTCACTACAGCTTCTGCCTCCCAGGTTCAAGTGATTCCCCTGCCTCAGCCTCCCGAGTAGCTGGGATTACAGGTGTGCACTACCACAGCCGGCTAATTCTTGTACTATTAGTAGAGACGGGGTTTCACCATGTTGGTCAGGCTGGTCTCGAACTTCAGAGTTTGTGATTATCCTGTCTTGGTCTCCCAAAGTGCTGGGATTACAGGCATGAGCCACCATGCTCGACCTGATAATTACTGTATTAGAATTATTTTCTCTTTTTTTTCAGCTATTTTCTCTGCTCTTCCCAGGAGGCCCTGCTAAACAGTTTGGATTGCCAGTACTGAACCTCTCCAGGTGTTAATCAGGCATTTTCTGAGTGGTAAGTAAAAATATCCGCATTTTTAGAAATGATGAAGAAAGCAGAAAGGAGCCTTCCTTTCTGAAAATGTGTCCAACTTGTTGCTATAATGGATAACTTCATCATTAAAAACAAATACACAAAAACACTTATAGAATGTTTTCCGTTTTGCCCTCTTTTCTGTATCTTCAAATGAATTATTTTTCTTGAAGTTTGGTACCCAGAATAGAGCGCATCATAGTACATATAGTTGAACCAGTGTAGAAGAAAATACGGCTATTATTTCCCGTGTTCTTGGCCCTTCTTCATTAATGTGAGGTAAGATCATCCGAACATTGTATTTGAGCAGCTTTATTACTCTGCCAACTCTTATTTACCTTGAAGCAAATAACAATGTTCTCATTTCTTATTAGTATTTCTGCATTAACTATTGCCAAAGCCATGTCATGGTATACCTTAATAAGGAGAGGGCAGCTGAGAACAGCTTTTTTAAAACATGTCAATCTCATGTTTTGAAACATGTTGTGAACAGTAAAGCCAGCTGACCATAGGGGAACTTTCTGAGATACTGAAGCAGCTGGTGAGATCACTCCTGAGTGAGGATACTGGTGGAAAAGTCTTGAGAACTGATCATTGGTTAGTTCCATGGGCAATGAGATGAACAAGGGGCAAGAAGTGAACAAGGTCTGGCCAGTGGCCAAAAGGAGAACACTTCTAGTAATCTCGATGAGTCTTTATATCCTCCTTTGCCAAATTCTGCAACTGCTTGACCCTCTCTCTCTCCTCTGGTGGCTTCTATAGACTCCGTGCCCTGTGCTTCTCTGCCGATCCCTCTACCTGCTTTTTCTAAGTCTCATTTGTGTCTCTGTCTCCTCTGTCCACTCCTTAATGCTGCTGTCCCTCACTGCTTGGTTGGTACTGCTGGTTCCTCATTCTGTGCACTCTCATTCATATGTACAGTTTTGACTATTGTTGCCACGGCTAATGCTGTATTGGTGCTCCCAAATTATCTCTTCTGAAGTTTAGACCTATTTACCCAATTATATACAAGGTGTTTACATAAGGAATGTTGAAATCTCCTTTTTGACATTTATAATAGAATTTATCTTTACTTCCAAATGTTTGCATCCTTCTTTTTGCCATTCTAAGTGATAGAACCGTTCTACTAGTCGTCCAAGCCAGCGATCCTGGTTATCATCCTTGGCTTCAACCTGAATTCTTCAGGCCCTTCTCTTTAGCTTTTACCAGGGAACATTGTACCTCAAAGTCCTTTGAGTCTTTTTCTGTGTCATCCCTTTCCATGATCACTGCCATTGCCTTATTTCAGGTGCATAATTTCCTGCTTGGACCACTCTGATATTCTGGTTAAAAGCTAAGGCAAATATACCTAGGCTCTGATTATGCTTCAGTCACTCACTAGTCCCTAGTTGTATGAGCAGTTTACTCAACTCCCAGGGCCAAACATTACTCTTTTATAAGAAAACTGAGTCCCACTAGTTAGTGGTAGAAAGGAAGCTTGAATACAGATAGTTTCATTTCTCTTCAAATCCTTTTTAACCTTTCCATAATGTCCTTAGATATTCCTTCCAAGTTTGTGTCATCTGTAAATTTGATAAGCGTAGTTTGATGTTATAATCAGAGTAGGGAAAATAACGATCCCTCTAATCACAGCATTTCTGACACCAAATGTTCAGGTTTTTACCTGATGAGGAGTTCAGGGTGAAGCCAAGGATGATGAACAGGATCACTGACTTGTACAACTAGTAAAACTGTTCATACCAATTAGGATGGCAAAAAGAAGGATGTTATAAGTTTGGGAGTAAAGCAACTCTACAACTTTCTACACACCAACTGGTTATCCAACAATTCAATACAATTTGGATACTAACTACCCAGAGTTAGTGAAAACCCTTCAGGTGAAGGACTCAGTTCCAAAATCATAATTCAGATGCCAATCATAAGTCCAACCCATCAATGCTTCAGACCAACCAGCTTTAAATCTTGGGTTCTCACAAACCTCTCCTAGGGTTCAATAATTTGCTAGAGTATCTCAGGGAACTCAAGATGGTACTTTATTTGTATCTAGTGGTTTATCACAACGGACACATTCAGGAACAGGTAAAAGGAGGAAATGCATAGGAAAAGGCATGATGGGAGGCACCGGGGGAGTAGTTGCACACAGTTTCTATACCTTCTCTGGGGATGCCACTAACCTAGCACCTCTGTGTGTTCATCAACTCAGAAGCTTATCAACTCTTGTCATTCAGGAATTTTCATAGAGCCTAATCTCCAGCCCTGCTTCCCTTCTAGGAGGTTGGTAGGTGGGGTAAAAGATTCCAACCCTCTCATCATTTGGTCTTTCTGGTGACCAGCCTCATTTTGAGGCTTTCTAGGGGTTTCGCCCTAAGTTGGATGTGATCAAAAGAAACTCTTTGTGACCAATAAAAGACATTCCTGCCACTCAGGAAGCTCCAAGGGTCTTAGGGGCTCTGTGCCAGGAGTCAGAGCCAAAGGCCAAATATATTTATTATGCCAGAAGAATCACTGATTAAAAACATTACATAAGAAGGGAATCATAGTAATGGCTTAGGGTTGCCTCTTGAAGACTTTTCTTGGTTGACCATTTCTATGTCATAAGTGCACCGTGACAAAGGACCTAACAAAAGAGTAGAGGAAGATGTAAAGCATAAATTAAGAACTATAAATGGCGATCTGAACTAGTGCCTAAAGAAAAAAAAAATTGAGATATACTAAGTAAGAACCATATATCAAGACTAGGGTCCAGAGTTTGGAGAAGATATGTCAGAAGGCCTCATGAGTGGGAAGGAGAGCCATGCCCTCTGCCCTCCTCCATACTTTCCTCCCTGGGCAGAGATGCTTACACACTTACATGCTTACACCTGCACCATGAGGCCAGGATTCTGGCAATCGTATCTTATGTTACAAATACACCAACTAGCTGCTTACAACATTCAGTAAGTCTTCTTAAAATAAAGCAGCCTTGGAGACAACTTCTACCATTATTCTATAAAAAACTGGATCTTTTATCATTCTTATAAATTATAAGAATGTATATATAAATTACAAGAATGTATAATTATAAATTATAATACTGTGTATATCAATTTTAATACTGTATATATAAATTATAAGAATGTATAACTTATAAGAATGTTATACATTTTTATAATGTGTAAGAATTATAAAAGATGGTTCACCCACCTTCACCTCAATGAACTCAGATTCACTCTATTATCCATGGTGGTAGTAGAGAATGTGGTATACATACCTGTGTGTGTATATGCGTGGGTGTGTGTGTGTGTGGGGGGGTGCTCAATCCCTTAATCACCAGACAACAGTCACTGGAAATCCTATCATGTTTTCTCATCCCATTTCTGTCTTATTTTTCATTGCAGTTTCAAGGTAGAGACAGATGAGGAGAGGTGCCTTCGCTTTGTAAAAGCAGCAGATTCCTTCACCTTTCCTCTTGGTCTGTGTCTATTTAATTTGAGGTTACAAATGCATACTGAAGGAAAAGCTAGTTAACTTAACTAGAGTTTTAAGGTTCAACTACAGATTTTGCCAAAGACCTTGCTGAAAAATCATGGTAAAGTTACTGTGTCTCTCCAGTTCCCAACCACTGCTGCACCAAGAGAGCTGAGTAATATGGCACCCGCCTGCAGGCTGGTTTATTATAGTAGTTATTTCAAATGGTATATGCATGTATAAGGGTGGGGGCTTCCTCTCCAATGATTTTTACTTGTCAGTGAAAGCCTCTTGATCTTGCCAACTACCAATTCTATTAAAAGAAATTAGTTCTGGAATTATTCTTAGTGCAACCCGTTTGCTTCATTAATGACTGTGCTGATAAATTATCAGTTTAAGAATTAATTTTATAATATTTCCAGAGATGGAAGGCTTATTCTTGCCTGTAGTTTCTGGCCTCGGCCCTCTAAATAGTCGATTCAGTCGTCCCAGTCCTTGCACACATGTGGCTGAGGAACCGTCCATTGTGACTACAGTAGTGGAGAAGCTGTGTACTTTTATTGACCCTGGATGACCTGGACACTCAAACAAATGTACTGGTCACAACCTCCAGCTATATTAGTTGTTGAATTCACAGAATGTATGATTTAGTTTTTAACTGTTAAAATTTGTATCACTGATCTACATCCTTTGCTGAGAGCTCCTTTCACAGGCAATTAGAGGCTCTCTCCCTCTTTATCGTGGATTCCAGTTTCTTTTTTCTGATACTTGCCAAGTTCTCCCATTTCCAGTTGGAAACTCATTTTCTTTGTGGGAAGATGTGGAAGAAAAATATGACTGAAGTAGCCCACCTTGCTTCTTTCCTGTCATTCGCGGCCAACCTGACACTTGCTCGTTATTTTTGTCCCAACTTACCTCTATTTTTATTTTTTTTCCAAAAATTTGTCTCTAGATTTTGTTTGTATAAGTGCCAGCTTATTCTGGCCTACTAGAGTATGTGATTTTTTTTTTACACAGTTAATTCTCTCTAGATTCTTTGGTTTCTAATCAACTAATTCCTGCTAAGGTATTGGTGGCTGATAACGGCTTAATGGATCAACTCTTTGGGATGACATTTGCATTTTCACTCCTGCTTTTAAATCCTTACCCCAAAAGACCACATGATATGAGAATTTCAAGTATTCTTGTGGAGACAATAAGGAAAAACTTGTGGAAGGAAGAGAGCTTTTCTTAAGTCCCACTAAGCTCAGAACAGATATTTTAAAGTGCTCAACTATATGTAAGTCTCTTGTTCTTATAAATAACATGAGGAAAGTCAACATGAGAAAAAATAATGCACATTCATAATTGCAAAATTCAGACAGCTACAAAAGGAATGCAGAACAGCTTTCCCACATTTTAGAGGTTTCTAAAATGTAGCTAATCTGACATTTTGCTTTTTTATTCTGATCTATTTGATTTCATTAAATTTTAACGTAAGATGTTTGTGGAATATCAAAAGCAGTGATTGCAATTTAACCTTTTCTTAATTACTTTTCAGTAATTAAGAAAATGCCAATGAAATGCAGGCATTCTGGTGAACAATATATTATGCTGGCTAAAAGAGATTAGTGTCTAGAGTCAGACACACCTAGATTCCAATCTCCACTTGGACTCTTAAGAGCTGAGGATTCTTAGCAAATCACATCACTGGAGGCTCTTCAATGGACATCATAAGGTAGAGCCAGCAGCTAGGGCTATCATGAGGATTAGTGAGATAAGTTCAGCAAAATGCTCAGAAGAGTTCCTAGAACTAGTAAGAAGCCAATGAATATTTCTGTTGTGGGCATGTATGCTTTTTAAGTAGAAAAACCTAACAAGCCCCTTCATATCAGCTTTGGGGTTTTATGATGCTTAGAAATTTCCTCAGCTTGCCTGACCAACAAAAGAAAAATTAGCAATACTTTCTATTGGATTCTAAGATGTACTCATTTGTTTGTTTATTCATTTACTTTTGTCATACATTCTTGTATTTATGCATGTACCCATTCAGCATGTATTAAGTACCCATTATATTAGAAGTTGAAAAGCACTGGTAAATAAGACAGACATACTTCCTACCCTCAAAGAACTTATAGTCTAGTGGTCTCATTGTGAAATGTGAAATGGGCTAAGTATAAAAGCCAAGGGTAAGTGAGGACAGGAAACATTCACTTCTATACGTTTCACCTCATTTGTGAAAGAAAACCATTTCACACCCACTAGAAGAGCTGTTACCACAAAAGCAAAACAAAGTAAAACCTTGAAAATAACAAGTGTTGGCAAGGATGTGGAACAATCAGAACCTTTGTACACTGCTAGTGGGATGTAAAATCGTGTCATTGCTGTGGAAACAGTGAAGCAGTCCCTCTAAAATTTAAAATAGAATTAACATGTAATCCAGCAATTCCACTCCTGGGTATATATCTAAAAGAAGTGGAAGCAGAGGCTCAAACAAATATTTGTATATCATTAGTACATTCACAATAGTGAAACAGCAGAAACACCGCAAATGTTCATTGATGCATGAATGAATAAACAAGATGTGATAGACACATACAATGAAATACGATTCAACCATGAAAAGAATCAAAATTCTGACATATGCTGCAACATATATGGATCCTAAAGAAACGTGATGTGAAATAAGCCAGGCACAAAAGAACAAACATTATATGTTTCCACTCATATAAGGTACCTAGAATATTCAAATTCATAAAGATAGCAAGTAGAATGCTGGTGTCCAGGCGCAGTGGCTAACGCCTGTAATCCCAGCACTTTGGGAGGCCAAGGCGGGCGGATCACCAGGTCAGGAGATCGAGACCATCCTGGCTAACACGGTGAAACCCCATCTCTACTAAAAATACAAAAGCAATTAGCCGGGTGTGGTGGCGTGCGCTTGTCGTCCCAGCTACTGGGGAGGCTGAGGCAGGAGAATGGCATGAACCCAGGAGGTGGAGCTTGCAGTGAGCCGAGATTGTGCCACTGCACTCCAGCCAGGGCTACAGAGCAAGACTCTGTCTCAAAAAAAAAGGAAAATAGAATGCTGGTTAGTGGAGGCTGGAGGCTGGAGGAGGAAGAAATAGGGAGTTAGTTTTTAATGAGCAGTTTTCATTTGTGATGACGAAAAGTCCTGAAGACACCAATAGTGATGATGGTCATATAACAAGGTAAATGTACCTAATGTCACCAAACTGTACACTTAAATATAGTTAAAATGGTAACTTTTATGCTTTATGTGTTTAATCACAATAAGAAAACATTACATTCTGTGTATTCAACACATAGATGGAAGCTGTGACTAACATATTTTTTCCCACTATTATTTAGGGAATCTTAGCTGTCATTTGACTGGCTAAAAAGAAAAGCCAAATCAATAATTATACAGCAATAATAGGAGTTACGCTTCATTTTCAGTTCTTTGTAAATAAAGCAAACTATTTCCATGCCTTCCCTCAGTCTAGGACTTTCCTCCCACCAAGATATTTTATTCTTTCACCTCTTCAGAAAAGCAAGAACCGCATAATTAAACCCAACAGTCTAGTTTCACAGAGGCAGACATGGCATTCCAAAACATTAAATGGATATATTATACCACTATAAATAAGTTGTGTTTAGTTAGTTTTAAATACTCTAATTTTTGTTGTTGTTGTTGTTGTTGAGATGGAGTCTTGCCCTGTCTCCCATCCCAGACTGGAGTGTAGTGGCGCGATCTCGGCTCACTGCAACCTCCACCTCCTGGGTTCAAGTGATTCTCCTGCCTCAGCCTCCTGAGTAGCTGGGATTGCAGGCGTGTGCCACCATGCCCAGCTAATTTTTTGTATTTTTAGTACAGAGTTTCACCATATTGGCCAGGCTGGTCTTGAACTCCTGACCTCAAGTGATTCACCTGTCTCAGCCTCCAAAGTGCTGGGATTACAGGCATGAGCCACTGTGCCAGGCCTATACATTTATTTTCCTAAAATTATTTTGAAACATGGATGTTTTAAAAAGTCAGAGGCTGCCTTTCCACACTTCTGCCATTACCTACAGGCATGCAGTGAATTTTAACAATGCATTTTTCCTAGTTGGTACATATGTTGTTTCAAACAAGAATACTGCTGAGGTGTATCTTTGTTTAGCCAGTTAGGTCTTCACTGGCAATGAAAATTAATAGAGTACTTAAAACAAAAACAAAAACAAAATGCCCCCCCAGCTCATTGTTTAACATTAAACAAGTAGTTTAAAAGATATTTTTCTTTGAAAAACAAATGATAAACTAGAAAAAAAAAGTAAAAATAAAATCAGCATGTGATTTTTTAAGGGACCATATAAATTTAAAATATACAAATAAGTTGAAGAAAGATTTGATGAAATTGTTATGAGGAAAAACTGGAGATGTTTATTGAGGAAAGACTAAAGTGTTCTAAAGTATGTCTTTAACCTTTAAGTTGATATCTAGGGAAAGAACACACCTTTCTATAAATTAAGCTTTAATGCTACAGCCAGAGATGAAAACATAAGGCTGAATGGATTACATATCTGATGTGGCATGATGCAACTTAGAGTTCTTTAATAACGTGATTGCAAAAAATAAAAATGCTTAAATCATGCACACTGTTGTCTTCTAGGACACAATAATATAAACATTTCTAATAGTTTTTAAAATATGGTTAATTATCCTTATGAATTCATTGAAAAGATGTATAATGAGTGCTTTGCATGCATCAGACACTGTGTTATATTTTAGTGTACTGGGATAAACAAAATCAAGAGTAGCTCCTGCTCTCCTGAACCTTGTGATCTAGTTGTTCACCTAATACACCTTACTTCTTTTCAAGCCATCAATGTCTTAGACAGCTTCCTAATTCCAAAGATACTTTCTCTGGCCTCTTAATTTCCTATTCTACACACTATACCTTCATGATCTTATTTCTTTTTTTTTTCCTAATAGTTCTGCCATACGGAAACTAAGAAATGTATAATCCTTTGCTTTCTAAGCTAAAGAAAAAAAAGCTCTTAGATAACCATCCACATTATTTTTAATAGATCCTAATGTTTTGGGAAATGGTCCATTTTTCTCTCAAATTAAAGGCAAGAAATTTATTGAATAAAGCTGTTTGTGGAGAACAGAAATATGATTGGGAATAACAGAGATATAAATGCGTAATTAAAAAATATTCTATTGCTTAAAAAACTAATTTTACTACTCTAAATAATTTGTTATAAAAAGCTTCAGGCTAGGATGATGGATAATTGAAAACTTGAAAAAGAAATGAACTCCTTTAAATGAATTTTCCAAACTCACACCCCACTGTCAACATTAGACAGATCAACGAGACAGAAAGTCAACAAGGATACCCAGGAATTGAACTCAGCTCTGCACCAAGCGGACCTAATAGACATCTACAGAACTCTCCACCCCAAATCAACAGAATATACATTTTTTTTCAGCACCACACCACACCTATTCCAAAATTGACCACATAGTCGGAAGTAAAGCTCTCCTCAGCAAATGTAAAAGAACAGAAATTATAACAAACTATCTCTCAGACCACAGTGCAATCAAACTAGAACTCAGGATTAAGAATCTCACTCAAAGCCGCTCAACTACATGGAAACTGAACAACCTGCTCCTGAATGACTACTGGGTACATAACGAAATGAAGGCAGAAATACAGATGTTCTTTGAAACCAACGAGAACAAAGACACAACATACCAGAATCTCTGGGACGCATTCAAAGCAGTGTGTAGAGGGAAATTTATAGCACTAAATGCCCACAAGAGAAAGCAGGAAAGATCCAAAATTGACACCCTAACATCACAATTAAAAGAACTAGAAAAGCAAGAGCAAACACATTCAAAAGCTAGCAGAAGGCAAGAAATAACTAAAATCAGAGCAGAACTGAAGGAAATAGAGACACAAAAAACCCTTCAAAAAATCAATGAATCCAGGAGCTGGTTTTTTGAAAGGATCAACAAAATTGATAGACCGCTAGCAAGACTAATAAAGAAAAAAAGAGAGAAGAATCAAATAGACACAATAAAAAATGATAAAGGGGATATCACCACCGATCCCACAGAAATACAAACTACCGTCAGAGAATACTACAAACACCTCTACGCAAATAAACTAGAAAATCTAGAAGAAATGGATACATTCCTGGACACATACACCCTCCCAAGACTAATCCAGGAAGAAGTTGAATCTCTGAATAGACCAATAACAGGAGCTGAAATTGTGGCAATAATCAATAGTTTACCAACCAAAAAGAGTCCAGGACCAGATGGATTCACAGCCGAATTCTACCAGAGGTACAAGGAGGAACTGGTACCATTCCTTCTGAAACTATTCCAATCAATAGAAAAAGAGGGAATCCTCCCTAACTCATTTTATGAGGCCAGCATCATTCTGATACCAAAGCCGGGCAGAGACACAACCAAAAAAGAGAATTTTAGACCAATATCCTTGATGAACACTGATGCAAAAATATCCTTAGGTTAAACAGCCGTATACAAATTTTCAAGATTTGCTCACGGAGGGAATAAATATTGAATGCCACTTTATTAAATACAATTGAGCACACAAACTATAATCAAATTCACAGATAATATAAACTGTTTAATATCAAATATAGGAGTATTACAAAGATGCTAATTAGCCTTCAATAATTACTTTCCCCCCTTGCATAGACTTAGATCTTTACCTGGATATTTGGTTATCCAATATCCCTTGCAACTATATGTGGCCACATTAATATGTTCCAGCCAATGAGGTGATACATGCGTAAACATTGTATGAGATTTCAGGGGAGTGGCCTTGAAGGGTGAGAATCACCCCATATCTTTTGATGCTTTTTTCCTCCTATCTAGAACTTGGATGTAATATCTGGCACTCAAATTGCCATTTGGGATATTTGCTTGTACTAAATATAAAGCAGAAATATGGAAAAAGCCTAGCTTCCTGACTCCATGGAACACTGCATTAGCCTTGAACAGTCTAATTCTATATTCTCTCATATAACAAAGGAAGAAATCTTCATCTTGTTAATTTCAGTCTCTGTTACTCAAGCTGAACCTAATCCAAACTCATACCATAGTTTGTACTATACATAAAAATAGGGTGCTATGTGTGACAAAGCCTAAAAAGCATATGGAATTGCCTGTGGTGGACACCAGGCCTTGAAGACTGGGATACTCTAGCTGTGGAAAGCTGAGATCTTTGTTATACCGTAGCTAAATATTTGGTTATATTGTCAACTGCTGTCTTTGGAAGGCAAATTAGGTGCCAACTGAGACTTTCCATGTTAAGAGAAATGCTTGGAAAGACTCAAGTGCTCTTGCGCACTGGCACTGGCTCCTTCTTGCTGTGTTTAGCAAAGTCTCCAGGAGAGAGATGAAGTTAGTCTAGAACTCACCAGCCTAAAGGCTGAGATGAGAGTAAAGCTACTGTGAAGTAGAAGGTGCTTTCTTCTTATGTTGACAGTCTAAAATGATGGAAAATCCCTAATTCAGAAGCTTGAAAGGGTTAAAAAAATAAAAATGAAAAAAATAAAAAATAACTCTGTATCCTAAACTGCATTATGGTGTAAGTCTAAACCACAGCTGCCAAGAGGCAGCTTTAGAAGGAAGTAAGCCTGTGGCCCCAGGATGTCTTTCATAACCTTCAGGTAAGGGTTATCTACCAGACACTGGGGCACAGCACTGTTGCAGTGATCAGATTGAGGATATCATCGTCCACTAAAGGTTTATTCTTTTTCAGGACCTCAAGGTAGTTTGACATTAGCTGAAAGGCAGAGAGAAGAAAAGGAGGGAGGTGCAAGTTCTCTTGAAGGCAGATTAGAGGGCTCACCTCCACTGGGAATTGGCAGAACACAGAGGTAAGTATGAAAAAGAATAGTCAACAGGTTTTAAACTATGTCAAGAACAGATGTTTAGGTGTGGTTATTTGCACATAGAACTGCCTGAAAGAAAATAGATTAGAAGACTATAACATTTTTGAGAAACTTACATTGCCAAGGAAACCATAAGCATGGCCTGCAAAGTTTTGTGCCCTTTCAATGACTTCAGCAGTCCTTAATCACTAATTTGTATCAGCAGGAGGTCAGTTATGAAAGCATGCAGCCCACTAGACAGGAAAAAGCAGAATGCCCTTCTCAGATAGGATCACGATATGGCTTCTCATAGGGACCTCTGCGAGAGTGAAACTTTGGGTCACAAAAGGCACTGGAAAAATAGCCTCTTTGCTATTCCTGCCTAGCAAGATTTTAAAATTGCTATGGACCAGCAATGGCTATGTGTCTCTCATGCTTTTATTTTCATAAGAGGAGTGTATTTCACAGTAAACAGGTTTTTAATTTATATACTACTCTACCACAAGAAATGAAACCTTGACCTGACGTAGAGTTCTGTACATCATCAGAGATGGATTTGAGATGGATGCAATAACTTATGAGATTTTGGGAAGGTCTCACTTGAAGGAACATAAAAATGTCCTATGTATTGGAAAAAGGGTTAATATAGGTATTTCTGTGTACTAATATTGGTACATACTGTCAGTTTTCCCTACAATCTGTTTTCATGATCTTTTCAGTAAAAAATCTCCCTGCACCTTTTATTTGAGGGGAGGGGGCACTGGATTCATGAATGTCTGGAAGAATTTTATTTCCCAGCTTGCTTTGCAACTAGTTGTAGCCACAGGACTAAGCTCTGGCTGACAGGATATGTGTAGAAATATCTTCAGCATCTTTCAGGAAGTGTCCTTAAAGAAAGGGGCTCCATGACTCTTTTCACTTCTTTCTTCCTGCTGTATGGAATGGGGATGGAAGACATCTTGACCAAGAGTGAGAAACAATGTACTAAAGATGGTGGAAAATCTAGATAGATTAGAACTTGTTAAATTAGAGGTTGCATGCTAGATGCAATCCACCACTTGTTTTTGTAAATGTTTTACTGGAATACAAACATACCCATTTATTTTTGTATTGCCTATGGCTGTTTCTCTGCTACAAAGCAAAGTTGAGTAGTTGTGAGAAAGAACACATGGCCCAAAAAGCTTAAAATATTTACTATATGACCCTATATAAAAGAGTTTGCTGATGCTTGAAATAGAATTCATACTTCGTGAAACCACAAAATGCCATACCAGCCCCTTCATCCAGTTTAAATCGTTACTAAGTTGGATTTCTATAATTATATAGCTGAAGACTATCCTAATAATTTGGATTTTTTCCCTCTATCTTAAAAGTTAATATTATTATATCTATAATATTTTCAATATAGAAATCCTATATTTAACATTACTCATTTCTGGGTGTCACGGCTCATGCCTGTAATCCCAGCAATTTGGGAGGCCGAGGTGGGCAAATTACCTAAGCTCAGGAGTTCTAAACAAGCCTGGCCGACATGGTGAAACCTCATCTCTACTAAAATTACAAAAATTAACTGGGCATGGTGGTGCACGCCTATAGTCCCAGCTACTAGGGAGGCTGAGGTGGGAGGATCACTTGAACCTGGGAGGCAGAGGTTGCAGTGAGCTGAGATCATGCCACTGCACTCCAGCCTGGGCAACAGAGTGAGACTGTTGTCTTAAAACAAAATAACATTACTTATATATAAGTGCAAAGGAAAAATAAAAGAAACAATGTATTTAGTTGATATTTACCATTATATACTTTGACATAACACAAGAGATTAACTTCCCTAATAAAAATGTATATATACTTAATGTTTTTAAAGAATTAAGAAGTATGGTAAAGAATTCTGAAATTATTGATGCAATATAAAGCCTTTTAAAATTAAACTTACTGGACACATTGCGTTTATGGACATTCTATACTGGAAAGTAAAATCCACTCACCAATGACAAAAAAGAAGAAACCTCAACAATTTTTGTTACATGAATAAATTATTAGTAACTGTAAGTAACAAATGTACATTTAAACACAAGTGCTATGTCAGAAGATTACTTTTATCCACTTATATTTTTAAAAATAATCCTGACAAATTTCACCTCCCTTTATCTTATCTAGTTTGTTTCCTACCACATGAAACTCTTGTCTATGTAAAATTAGAAAAAATTAAAGACATGCTTTTCTAAAGTAAACATTTTTCTCCTGTTTTGAAAATTTAAATATATACGTATATATTTTTAATTTTACTTTAAGTTCTGGGATACATGTGCAGAACGTGCAGGTTTATTACATAGCTGTACATGTGCCATGGTGGTTTGCTGCACCAATCAACCCGCCATCTAGGTTTTAAGCCCCACATGCTTTAGGTATTTGTCCTATTGCTCTCCCTCCCCTTGCCCCCCACCTCCCGATAGGCCCCAGTGTGTGATGTTCCCCTCCCTGTGTCCATGTGTTCTTATTGTTCAACTCCCACTTATGAGTGAGAACATGTGGTGTTGGTTTTCTGTTCCTGTGTTTTCCAGCTTCATCTGTGTCCCTGCAAAGGACATGAGCTCATTCTTTCTTATGGCTGCATAGTATAACAGTGTCTTTAAATTTTTGTCTTATAATTTTTGTCTTTAAAAAAACAAACAAACAAACAAAAGAGGGTTGCTCTGTTCTCCAGGCTGGAGTGCAGTGGCACGATCTTGGATCACTGCACTCCAAGGCTCAAGAGACCCTCCTGCCTCAGCCTCCCAAGTAGCTGGGACTTCAGGTGCGCGTACCCATGCCCAGCTAATTTTTGTATTTTTTGCAAAGATGGGGTTTCACCACATTGCTCAGGCTGGTCATGAACTCCTGGGCTCAAGTGATTCTCCTACCTCAGCTTCTCAAAGTGCTGGGATTATAGGTGTGAGCCACAACGCCCAGCGAACTTTACATTTTTATATGGAAATATATTCAAGTAGTTTTCACTTATTATTTTTTAGTACTATAAAAGTGCTTGTCATGTTGGTTTTATACCTACAAATGGCTACTGTAGAAAATTTTAACGAAAAAAGAAAGGAGAACATTAAAATTATTCATTCTTCGAATCAGAGATAGTATTGCTAAAATTCTGTTTTACTTTCTTTTACAGTGAGGAATGGGTGGGTACAAAACTAGGTAAGAAGAAAGAGACAAACCGTAGAAAGCAGAAAGTTAAGAGAAGGGAAAACCAGGAAAAGAGAAGCCAAGGAAAAAAAAGAGATACATATATACACGCACACACACACACACATATATATACATATACACACACACACACACACACACATATATATATATATATCCTTTTTTTGAAGTTTAAGCGACAGTGAGGTAGGCAGACATTAAACAAATAATCTCCCTAATTCATATATCTTTATAATCTATTATATATACTCAAAACTAAAGAACCTGACCTTAGCCAGGGGCTGAGACAAAGGGAAGGCTTCCCTGAAGAAGTGTTGATTAAAGTGAGATTTGAGAAAGAAGTAGTCATCTTAGGCTGAAGAACATTCCAGACAGAGGAAATAGTAGAATGTGTAGGATCCCTGTGACAAAGGCAGCATAACACTCTATTAGCTCAAGGAAGGCCAACATGATGCTGGTGCACAGAAGCAGAAGGCTGGGTGAGGATGAATGATGTGTGTAACACAGAAAGGAACCATACGATGCAAGGTCCTTGTAATTCAGGTTATAAATTTGCATTGCTAAACAAATAAATAAGTATTGCAATCACAAGAGAAACAGGAAGTCAGTGAGGGTGGAAAGGGTAGGGGAAATTGGCAAGACAAAGTCAGTGGAAGATAGATTGAAAGAGGACTAACTAGAATGGACTGAAACCGTCAGTGGATAAATCAGGGAACTGTTAAGCAGTCCTGCAGAGAGAATATGGTAGTCTGGTTTATCACAGTGGCAGTGAAACAGCTGAGAGGCAGATGGATTATAAAATCATTTATGAGATGAATAGTTATGGATAATAAATAAATACTTAAATAGGATTGGGTGAAGGACTGGATTTGTTGCATTAAGATAAAACTAAGACTAAAGTCATTCTTTATCCTGGATGGAGGGCAATGGCACATTCACTGATATGGAAAATATTAGACAGGTCTAGGAGAATGCAATTATAAATTTGTATTGTATTAAAATATTTTATCCCCATTGCAATAAGACTATGTCATTAACCTTTTTGTATACCATTTAATATTATTCAAAATCACGACTTTGGGTGGCTGCATAATACTCCATTTTATAGACTTGCCACAGTATCTTTTAGCATCTTTCTGCTGTTGCTCATTTAGGCATTTTCTAGTTATTGATGACTATGTTGTTGCAATAAACATTCTTGTATATAACTACTTTATTCTGTAATCATACAATGGGATCCGTTACCATTATTTATATTCTTTCAAAAGTATATGAATCAAAATTCGTGTAACTAAATTTTACTATATGTATTTAAATCTTAATAAATTGATTTTAATAAGTGATTGAGGGCTAACCTTATTGTATCATCTCCACATAAATAAAATCTTAACACTCCTTTTAATAAACACACATTATAAACTTTCTTATACTACTTAATCACTTAGCTATAATTTTGTTTTAATTTTTTAAAATGTGGATTTCTAACTTGTCCCTTGATGATGCTAACCTCACATCATTATCCAGTGTCTTATTTTTCTGATGCTTTCTTTGCCTCTCTTCTAATCCTCCTCTCCATTTCATGAAATCTAAGGTTTTTATTATCAGAGTGCAACAAATGTCTGATAATAACAGACATTTGTTTTTTTCCTACATTTTTATCCCCAAATCTTTGCCTACATTAGTGTTTCTCAAAGTATGGAGAGAGAATGACAAGCATTGAGATCACCCAGGAAGTAATTTAGTAATTTTTCAAAACAATAAACATAGACTTATCATATGACACAGCAATTCCACTCCTAGGTATATACCCAAGAGAAAGAAAAACATATGTGCAATCAAAAATAGGTAAATTAATGTTCATATCAGCATTATATATAATAGCCAAAAGGTGGAAAGACCCAAAACTCCATCACTTGTGAATGAATAAGTGTCTCATATATATGTATACACACATATATATACACACATATATGTATATACATATATGTAAAAATATTTGGCAATAAATAGGGATAAAGTACTGTTACATGAATTGAATAAACTACAGTTGAATAAAGGTTGAAAACATGCTAAATGAAAGAAGCCAGTCATAAAAGATAATTTTTTAAGCAATTCAATTTATATAAAATGTCCAGAATAAGGCCAGGTGTGGTGGCTCACGCCTGTAATCCCAGCACTTTGGGAGGCTGAGGCGGGTGGATCAGAGGTCAGGAGATCGAGACCATCATGGCTGACACAGTTAAACGCCATCTCTACTAAAAATACAAAAAATTAGCCGGGCGTGTGGCGGGCTCCTGTAGTCCCAGCTACTCAGGAGGCTGAGGCAGGAGAATGGCGTGAACCCGGGAGGCGGAGCTTGCAGTGAGCCGAGATCATGCCACTGCACTCCAGCCTGGGGGACAGAGCAAGACTCTGTCTCAAAAAAAAAAAAAAAAAAAAAGTCCAGAATAAACAAATCCATAGAGACAGGAAGTAGTAGATTCGTGGTTGCCGTGGTTGCCTACGATTTGGGGTTTTGTGGAAGAATTCAGAGTGATTTCTAATAGTTTTGGGGTTCTATTTGGGGTCATGAAAATGGCCGAAAATTAGATTGTGGTGATAGTTACAAGACTCTGTGAATATTCGGAGTATCACACCAAGTTATTCACTTTAAATGGTGAATTTTATAGCATATGATTTCTTGGCCAATAAAATGATAAGAAAAAAAGAAAATCTGTTTAAAATGCATATTTCTGGGCCCAACCTCATACCTACTGAATCAGAATTTTACTAAGAAGGCAGCCAAAGACTTTTTTTTTTTTTTTTTTGTAAAGTACCCTAGAAGGTTCTTAAGGACATTAAAGTGTGAAAGCCTGGTATGAAACATGTATTATCTTAGCAAACACACAAAATCTCTGCCCACTGCTCTTCGAATCAACTTTTGCACTAGGCTAGCAAATAGTAGAACTATTTCTATTTCTTCTAAGCTTTTACATAGTGGTTATTACCCGTCTGCTTCATTCAGCCTGATAGCTTGCATTTCCACCCTAAAGCCCAATTGAATTTTTTCCTTCTTTTGATCTTCCAACATTTTTTTCTACATATAACATTGACTATATATTTACTAGGGGCAATTCCCCCTTTACATGTATTTTCTGCCCTTCAAATATTCTTTTATTTTAAATATTAAACCTAAAATCATGTATACATATGGAATCCTTGAGTCCATCTCTTTGTTCAATAGCCCATAGATAATAGGAAAAGTTCCAAAGATATTAAAGGATTTTTTTTTTTATTGCTGACTTTTTGAAGCATGTAGCTTCTCCTGGAAATAATACCATATAGTCCAATGCTGGCAGAGAATATCTTTACTCAAATTTTATATTTGCATACTGATCTAATAAGGGTGTCTAAAAACAGAGAAGGTCTCTCTTCCCAATTGTGAGGTAGTGAACTTACTGGTTATTATAGATTAAGTTCTACAGAGGAATGATGCCATAGTAACTTTGGCACTAATTGTATTTAACTTCAGTGAATGAGATAGAAAGATCTAGATGTCAGAGAGGCTTGGGGATTTTTTTGATTGGAAAAGTATTAAAGACAATGTAAGTTTAAGGCTAACTTTTGAAGTAGGCTGAATTATATGTTACTAGGAAAGTCTTTGGCCTAAATTCCCGGACCCTCAATCCCACACATTATACCTAAAAACACTTCAAATTTCCCCAAAAACACTTCAAATTTTCCCATTAGATATTCAACCATTTTTAGGGTCTTGAAAGCCAAAAAGTCTTACAAAATTTCTTATCTCAGCAAAGTTTCAGGATACAAAATCAATGTACAAAAATCACATGCATTCTTATACACCAATAACAGACAAACAGAGAGTCAAATCATGAGTGAACTCCCATTCACAATTGCTTCAAACAGAATAAAATACTTAGGAATCCAACTTACAAGGGACGTGAAGGACCTCTTCAAGGAGAACTACAAACCCCTGCTCAATGAAATAAAAGAGGATACAAACAAATGGAAGAACATTCCATACTCATGGGTAGGAAGAATCAATATCGTGAAAATGGCCATACTGCCCAAGGTAATTTATAGATTCAATGCCATCCCCATCAAGCTACCAATGACTTTCTTCACAGAATGGGAAAAAACTACTTTAAAGTTCATATGGAACCAAAAAAGAGCCCGCATCGCCAAGTCAGTCCTAAGCCAAAAGAACAAAGCTGGAGGCATCACGCTACCTGACTTCAAGCTATACTACAAGGCTACAGTAACCAAAACAGCATGGTAATGGTACCAAAACAGAGATATAGATCAATGGAACAGAACAGAGCCCTCAGAAATAACGCTGCATATCTACAACTATCTGATCTTTGACAAACCTGAGAAAAACAAGCAATGGGGAAAGGATTCCCTATTTAATAAATGGTGCTGGGAAAACTGGCTAGCCATATGTAGAAAGCTGAAACTGGATCCCTTCCTTACACCTTACACAAAAATTAATTCAAGATGGATTAAAGACTTAAATGTTAGACCTAAAACCATAAAAACCCTAGAAGAAAACCTAGGCATTACCATTCAGGACATAGGCATGGGCAAGGACTTCATGTCTAAAACACCAAAAGCAATGGCAACAAAAGCCAAAATTGATAAATGGGATCTAATTAAACTAAAGAGCTTCTGCACAGCAAAAGAAACTACCAGCAGAGTGGGATGGGAACCTACAAAGTGGGAGAAAAGTTTTGCAACCTGCTCATCTGACAAAGGGCTAAAATCCAGAATCTACAATGAACTCAAACAAATTTACAAGAAAAAAACAAACAACCCCATCAAAAAGTGGGCGAAGGACATGAACAGACACTTCTCAAAAGAAGACATTTATGCAGCCAAAAGACACATGAAAAAATGCTCATCATCACTGGCTATCAGAGAAATGCAAATCAAAACCACAATGAGATACCATCTCACACCAGTTAGAATGGCGATCATTAAAAACTCAGGAAACAACAGGTGCTGGAGAGGATGTGGAGAAATAGAAACACTTTTACACTGTTGGTGGGACTGTAAACTAGTTCAACCATTGTGGAAGTCAGTGTGGCGATTCCTCAGGGATCTAGAACTAGAAATACAATTTGACCCAGCCATCCTATTACTGGGTAGATACCCAAAGGACTATAAATCATGCTGTTATAAAGACACAAATACACGTATGTTTATTGCAGCACTATTCACAATAGCAAAGACTTGGAACCAACCCAAATGTCCAACAATGATAGACTGGATTAAGAAAATGTGGCACATATACACCATGGAATACTATGCAGCCATAAAAAATGATGAGTTCATGTCCTTTGTAGGGACATGGATGAAATTGGAAATCATCATTCTCAGTAAACTATCGCAAGGACAAAAAACTGAACACCACACGTTCTCACTCATAGGTGGGAATTGAACAATGAGAACACATGGACACAGGAAGGGGAATATCACACTCTGGGGACTGTTGTGGGGTCGGGGGAGGGGGGACGGTTAGCATTAGGAGATATACCTAATGCTAAATGACGAGTTAATGGGTGCAGCACACCAGCATGGCACATGTATACATATGTAACTAACGTGCACATTGTGCACATGTACCCTAAAACTTGAAGTATAATAATAATAAAAAATAAAATAAAATAAAATTCCCAGGAGGAGTAGAAAATATTTTTCATTACTTGAGAAACATCTGGTTGCTGGGATGGACAAAGGGAACCCAAAGTAGAAAGAGAAATTAAAAATAAAAGGAGGGGTGAGTTCAGCAAAAGCTCTATTTAATTACTACGTGAGTAAACCAAACTAGAAAAACTAACTTATTTTAAAATCTGATCTTTTTAAAAACTCAACAATGGAAAACAAGCCACAGAACCAGAAAGAACTTAACTTTTTAGTTAAAAGAGAGACATGTAAATAATAATAAATTTAATAATTAAATTTACATACAAATAATTGATTGCCTAAAGGAGAAACAAAACAGGCAAGCAGACAAAATAAGCAATAACAGACCATCACAGTTATAGGCACGGGATCCCATTCTGTTTGTTTCTGTACATATAAGAATATTACTTGAATTTCCAGCAGTTCAAAAAAGTAAGTATGCTAAATTCATCTCCTCTACCTACTTGTTCTGTCATAGAGTATTAGATATGCAAACAAAAATATCAACTTTGTTGGGGAAAAAAAAACACAAACTTCTTTCTGGTTTGTCAAGAAGTGCTTTAAAATAACTTCCTGTAACTACCTTTATGTATTGCATTTTTGTGTCATTACCAAATGACTTGTGGCTACTAAGGAAGGGCCCTGGTGACATTTCCCTTCCTACCTGAGGTCAGAGTTGGCTGCTCTAAATAGGGTCCACAGATGCTTACCAGCTGAGGCCACGCTGCCTGGACTGCCCTCAGTCTGAACACAGCAGGAGTAAGAGAGCCAGGCCATTTCTTTCTGACACAGGATTCTAACAGACAATTTTTGCTAGAGACTGGCCAATACTGCCTCAGCTGTGCAACCATCTGGGGCCCTACCCACTCACTCATCCTTCCCTTTCACCATTCTTGAATGTCAGAGCTCCTCTTTAACCTCTTTTTCCTTTAGAAGTACTTGCCCAATAAATCTTTTGATTGTCTGATTCTGTCTTAACCTCTGCTTCTTAGAGTACCTGAACTAACCCATGATGAAGATTCTTTTCTTTACCAAATTTTAATCAGGCTCTGAACTTTCTCCTAGGCCCATCTGTTTACTCTCTTGTAAAATCCAGTTTTAGCAAAAGAACCCTGCGAAGTCAGTTTAGCCAGAACTCCCCGCCCTTGAGAGCTGATCGTTCTCAGTATCTCATCATCCTTGATACCTGACCACGTTCCTCCTGCACCACCCCACAGATGATGTCTGATCACTCTAGCCTGTTTTTGGCAAGAATTCTGGTTAGGTGGCTTTGGTTAGAAACCCCTATACTCCTGGATTGTTTCTTTGTAGTAATTTTCTATCCACTGACCCAACCCTGCTTTTTGCTATAAATTCCCGCTTGTCCTTCCTATACTTGGAGTTGAGCCCAATCTCTCTTCCTCGCTGCAAAATTATATTGCAGTGGTCCCTGTATCTATTGCAATGGTTCTGAATAAAGCCTTCCTTACTATGCTTTTAACATGTCTCTTTGAATTTTTTTTAACACTGATTATTCATGAAACATGAAGGATACATTAAAGATTTCTTTTTCTTTTTGTTAAAGCACAATAAAATCAACTTCATAGGATAAACTGTAGACTTATTTATGCTTCCCAAGTAATCACTTGACACCTATCACATATTTGCACCAGATATACAAGGCATTACAGTTTTAAAAATTTGGCCAGTAGTTTCTCTACTTAAGAGCATTTTAGATATAGAAGATATTTGCTAAAAAATTCACATACAAAATAATATTTAATTTACTTATCTTTAGTGTTATCCGTATTATTTTCACAGTCAGATCTTGATGTTCTTTTAGGCTAATCATTTTAAAAGAGCAAAATCAGTATCAAGAAAAAAGAAAGCAGAACATGTCAATGGTAAATGGCCGCAGGGTTAAGCCAATTCTTGAAAGTCAAAGAGTTTTTGAAATTTTATGATATTTTTCTTTGAAAACTTCTTGTAATCATTCCTTAAATCTGAGTATTTCCAATGCAAGCCAGTTGTAAGAGCCAGAAAAAGGCAAAGGCATGTAGAATATCACAATAATTGTAATGATAATTAGTTTAAAACATAGCTCTAATCAAATTTTACTTGTGGGAGCTATAAAAAAAAGTCTTGGGAATCTTGGGCTACATAATAAATACTTTCCAATCTCCAAGTGGAAAAACAGTTTCTGATGAGGTTAATATGTTCAATTTCAATGTGTAATTCCTTTTTTTGTGCTCTTTTCTTTTATGCATATAATTGGTAAACAAATAAAAAAAGCCTGAAAGTTCTTTGGGAATTAGATTGAAAATTTTTTTCTCATTGATATTCTCATAATAGAAAGTGATGGCTTAAAAATTTTTTTGTATTAAAAGCTACTACTTATATGGTACTATGCTTATTACACCTGGGTGATGAAATAATCTGTACATCAAACCCCCATGAGACATAATTTACCTATATAGAAAACCCTATACATGTACCCCTGAACCAAAAATAAAAGTTAAAAAAAGTGTTTTTTAAAATGAGGAACATTGCATAAAATAGCAAATATTGATTTGAATATTTTCAAGGACAAGGAGTTGTTTTTGCATAATCAGGTACTGCTTAAAATGTTAATTGACACAGAGTTTCTAGGTGACTCACTACAATTAGGGGAGGACAAACTCCTCTACGAAAAAAGTGGAAAAAATAATCACATAATAATAATGGACCAGAGGGAAAATATTAAAAATACTAAGAAAAATATAAAACAAAATGTTAACTAAAAGGTTTGGAAGCAGTAAATAAAAATAATTTCCAATTATATAATATTAGCCAAGCCAAATTAAATTAACCATTAACAACTTACAGAAATTGCTAAGGTTCTAAGTTGTGATTTCCTCATCTCACTCTAAAATTTAATAAATTGTTAGTCATTTGGTTAGAAAAAGTTGGCTTTTGCTTTTAATACTAAATTAGCATTTCAAAGAGAGGCATATTACACAAAAGTGAGATAGGGTAACCAAGTACTTTAGCATTAATGAAGGATATTCAGCACTATGTAAATGTGGATGAGAGCTAATTTCCAGTTTAGATTTTAAGAGGCGATAAATAGTTTACTTTCTACCCCCCTCCAACCCCAGTAGTATTGTTGGAACACTGATGGAACAAAGGCCAAAAGGAAAAGATTACAGTTAGGTGGTATTTTCAAGGTGGAAGTATATGCTTGAGGAGGTTATTTGTGAATCAATATTTTTAAAGGCTATTTTTAGTATAACAGCTTCTTAGCTTTAAGTCAGGGTTCTCCATTTGCTTATTTCTAAATGGCAAGGTCCCCAAATTAGAGACTGATTGGAATTTTAATTTACCATAGCAGGTTTTAGATGAGTAGATTCTTGACCCTAGATGCAGCAGAAAGAGCATTCAGCCAAGACTTGATCTGAGGAATTTCGGAACTGACTGAGAACCCATCAAAAGAAACTAGAAGAGACAGGACGCTGGGAATTTTGTTTGGGAGGGAGCTGTCCATGGTTCCGTTAATTTTGGTGGAACTATGACCACATACAGAACAAATTCCTTAGTTTTAGGATGTATAGGTCAAAAGTCATTTTCAGGGAAACACAGTGAAGTGGACCTCAAATTGTGAAAGGGGAAGGAGAAAGTGTAAAACAGTGGAAAGGGGAGGTATGAGCCTTTTCGTCAGGAAGACCGGTGTCATCCTTGACCCTTTGGCTTTCACACCCCATATCTCACCTGTCTGCAAGTCCTGCTGGCTGGACCTCCAAATGTGTATGCAGAATTGATCATTACCTACTGGCTCCACTGCTACAATCTAGTCGATTTTCTTTCATCTGGATTACTGCAATAGTTGCCACTGTTCTCCCTCATCCAACTACAGCCTTTTACCAAAACAGCAGCCTGAGAGACTGTTTTAAAATAAACTAGATTCACTCGGTCCAACCTTCTCAGTCATTGTTAAAGACCCTTCACAATCCAACCTCACCTTTTCTCAGCCACACTGACTCCCTTTCCTAATCGCTCCCTGCACACACCAGCTGGATATCGGGTTCCACTTGCTTTCCCCTCTACCAAGAGTGTTCTTCTCTCCCATCTTCTCATGGTGTGTGTGTTCTCACTCCTTTGAGGGGTTTGCTCAAATGCTATCTTCTTAATCAAAGGTTTCTCTGGCCATTTAAAGATAATCCTCAATCCCCTCCCAAGAACTTCCTGTCCCCTCCCTGATTAATTTTCCCCCAAATACACTCATTTAACCAATGTTATTGGTTTACTATCTGGCCTAGAATGTAATCTTCCAAGAGCAAGCACTTTTTCCCCTGATTTGTTCACTACCTCAACATGAACAATAATGCCAGGTTTTCAGAAAATATTTATTAATCCAAGCTCTACTACTTGTTAGTTGCCCATAATCTCTTTGGATATAAATGAATGAATGTAGGCCTTAGTTCTATAACAGACAGTATGAATGAAAACATCAAAGCGAATTCAAAAACATTTGCAAAAGCAGGCCTAGAAAAAAGATAAAAAGATTTACTATTTCAGCCAGTGTAGAGAAAAATCAAACATTAATCTAATTACAGTTTGAGTTTAAGGACTTATATTTTGAAGGAAATAACCATATTTAATTGATGGCATTTCCTTTTTTGGGGGGGCAGGTGGGGTATGGAGTTTTGCTCTGTCACCCAGGCTGGAGTGCAGTGGTGTGATCCTGTCTCACTGCAACCTCTGCCTCCTGGGTTCAAGCAATTCTCATGCCTCAGCCTCCCAAGTAGCTGGGACTACAGGCACGTGTGCCACCATGCCTGGCTAATTTTTGTGGTTTTTTTTAGTAGAGATAGGGTTTCATCATATTGGCCAGGCTGGGGCCTGACCTCAGGTGATCTGCCCGCCTCGGCCTCCCAAAGTGCTGGGATTACAGGCTTGAGCCACCATGCCTGGCCTGAAGGCATTTCTTATGAGAAGATTTTAGATATAAGACAGCTGACTTGCCCAGCATTTATATGTTAAATGTGAGGACATTTCTTACTGCTGCTAAGGGATTTAATGTATATCGATGGGGTGCCAGTGGTGTTCTCTTCAACTTTTCATGTTGTTTTAGCGTAAACAACTCTCTGGGAACACTTTGTAATATTTCTATGGTTTTAAGCTTATGCTTCACTGTTTAGTAGATGCCCATCGTACAAAATTCCAAGACAAGTACAGTATGACAAAAAGATGACTTAATTTATTCTTAAATACATGTAATTTTGGAAAGGGAACTACATTCTAAGGAAAAATGAAAGCAAATTTAAGATTTTTTTCTTCTTTTAATTGCACTCTTTGTGTGTGTGTGGTTGTTTTATTTCCAGTATTATTACTATCTACAAGTAAAGTCTTTAATGATTTCATTTATTTGGTAGTGGGAGGTTCCCATGGTGCTGCATATCAAGGTCAAGTTACAAATTCCTTTGTTCCTGAAAATTTTTCGGGTCAACCAAAGCAATGAAGCCAGATTCTTTCCCCTTGTCCCTAAGTATAATCCTGCTCCGAGGGTTGCTAACCCCAAGTCTTAGCTGGGTGTTCTCTTCTCTCTACATTACATGTGTAAGGACCCAAATGTAACGATACAACATTCGGTTAGTTCCACGTAGAATGTGCTTTCAAACCAATGATACATTTTCTTATCATTTACACTTTGTTTTTTTACACAAAGCTTTCCAATATTTATCAGAGATAAGTTCTCTCTCTTATGCATATGGACATGAAATTCCCTTGGAGAATTTTAAAATTGGTTTCCTTGCAATTCTATACGTGGTCCTACGCAGAGGTTACAAAATCACATTCAGAAATTTGACCATCAAATTCTTATGACCAGCACATTTTTATCCACTATGCACGATACTTTTTGTTTTTGTTTGTTTGAATGCCTCTAACTTTTAGTTATCCACATTTCTCAAAGTATGTGTTTGACTTTTAACTTCATAAGAGCCATCTTTGAGAATAGATAATATAAAATTAGAAGTATGAATCTCCTTTAGGAAGTCTGCTAATTTTTCATTAGAGGGGGTTGTAAAATAAAGCATTTATACCTTACTATGTGCTAAATTGTATCCTCCAAAAAGATACACTGAAGTCCTAACTGTGAAACCTATGAATGTGGCCTTATTGGGAAATAGGGTTCTTACAGATACAATCAGGTTAAGATGAGGTGATAATGATTAGGATGATACCTAATCCCATGAGTGGTGTCCTTATCAGAGGAAGGAAATTCAGATGCGGAAACACAAAGGGGAGGAGACTATGTGAAGATGGAGGCAGAGACTGGAGGGAGGTATCTATAAGCCAGAGAATAACGAGGATTACTGGTAACCACCAGAAGCCAGAGGAGTTGAAGGATCCTCCCCTGGGGCCTTCAGACACCTCAGGATCCTGTTGAACCTCCATTTTAGACTTCCAGCCTCCAGAACATTGACAGAATAGAACTATGTTGTTTTAAGCCACCGTGTTTGTGGTACTTTGATACGGCATCCCTAGAAAATCAATACGTACCTTCAAAAAGTTTGTTTAGGATTCAATTTGCACACTCCTGAAATGACACATTGTCTAACTTATATCATTTGATAAAATGTGTCTCATTCCATTATTTTTCTTTTTGGGAGAACAATGAAAAAGAGCTAGAAAACAAACTTCTAAACAATAGATTTCCTGTTGGTACAAAAGCAAGGCAGCTGATACTTCACAGTGCTGACAAGTGGATTCTGAATGGGATGCTGCAAGTTCGTATTCTTTGATGGATGAGCCAAACCAAGGATTTCTGGGAAACTATCTGGGAGGCTTTTCATGGAGTGTATTCCATCACTAAGAAATTTTCAGGCAGCCAAATGCTTGAAGGAGTGTTGGTATTTTCCTATAATAAATAGCTAAGGAGCCTGATAACCACATCCCCTAATTATTTTAAAACATAACTACTTGATAAAAATCTATATTTACATACCTATCTGGTTAGCTCGTTTTTGCCTTTACTTTCAATAGCAAAAACCCCAACTGGTTTTGCACAACCTAATATTTAAAATCCATGGTCTATTTCAATGAGGATTGAGAGGCCATTATTATAGACTATATGTTTGTGTCCCTCAAAATTCACATATTGAAACCCCGAGCCCCTGTGGGTGGTATTAGGAGTGGGGCCTTTGGGGGCTAATTAGGTCATGAGGGTGGAGCCCCTATGATGGGACTGGTGCACTCATAAGAAGAGACTTAAGAGTGTGTGCTCTCTGTCTTTCTCTCTCTGTCTCTATTTTTCTTCGATGAGAACATACAATAACAAAATGGTTGTCTGCAGCTTCTCATTATGTGCCCTCAGCAGACGTGGAATCTGCCCGCATTTTGATACCTTGGTCTTAGACTTCCCAACCTCAAGAACCATGAAAAACATATTTATGTTGTTTAGACCACTCAACCTATAGTATTCTCTTATAGCAGCCAAAACTGACCAACACAGTTATGTACTGGTGAGCTGGAAAGAGATGTGCCCTCTTATTAAACTTCATTAACACAAATCCTATCCTATCAAACTCAGGCCAGCTCCACTGCTTTCTTTTTCTCTTGCCTTCACCACTTGCTTTGGTACCTTCCTAAGACCTGCCTGCTTCCCCATTGAGTTCTTTAGAACTCCTCTTCCAGTAAGACTGGCTCTAGAAGCTTCTTATCTCTCCTCTTCAGCCCACAGCTCCTTTTTCTTTTAATGATAACAAAAGAGGAAATAAAAATGACCACAACAAAGAAAATTTAGAAATTTAAAAATCATACTGCTGTCTCATAGCCATGGATTCCGGCCTGTATCAGAAAGCTTATTACCACGTAAACAGTCAATAGGTAAATTTAATTATTGTGTTTAACATTCTTTTGATTATTAACATTAATGGAGTGTTATCTAAAAAAATTCTAGTTGGAGGAAAATAAAACATGTTAAAGCAGCTAAAACACACTTTACTGAAGAAACATGCCAAATAACGGATCTCTTTGTCTGCTTATCCCCAAGAAAAAAAAAATTAAAAGAATTCTTGGTGATTAAACATCATCTGATCATGGATGTTACAAAGGAGGACTAAGACTTTGCCGGCATTAGCAGGGAGCAAGCACAGAGAGATAAAATTGCACACTGGAGTGAAACGGCCCAGCCTGGGCTGCAAAGAAAGCTACACAACCGGGACTTAACTTCAAAAGAAACAAAATGTGGACGTATTTAAGGGTTTGGAAACAAAACAGAGTGTAGGACGGCAGGAAAGCCTTTACTTGAGGCTTTCAGTGAGCAGGAAAAATACTTTTCTTCAGTGAGTGTGGGGAAGAAATACTTTGAGTGGTGCAGAAGTTGATGAGAGGCCATTAAATAAATAATGGTCTGAAGTCTCCAGTGTTCCTTGTGAGGCTGTCTCTTACAGAGTTAAAAGAAAGGCTCAAGATGCATTGGAAAGTCAGTCAGCATTTAGCATTTCCTAGGGTCAGATCCCAGGTTTAAGTTTATGCCACACAGTGTTCAGAAAACAGATTCTATTGCCATTTAATAGATGAAGAAAGTAAGATACAGTATTAAAGGATCCACTAATTAAGTGATAAAGCCATATTCAAAATCAGGTATGCAGGATTCCAAAGCTCGTGTTTTAGAACAAAGTCAATTCTCCTTTCCACTATACTAGTATTTCTTAAGATGTGTTTATTTTAACATTTGAATCCTACTTTAAAATTTTCAGCACAGATGGTATAGAGTTGTGTGCATTTGTGTTTTAGTTAAAGTTGCGATCCAGAGGCAGTTCCTCTTCTGATCAGGAATCCACAAGTAAGAGGTGTCAAGAGTTTTAGTGCAGAAACGGTACACCCACACCAGAGGGGGTGACTCTTAGATTTTTACTATTTATTCCCATATCAACTTAATTCACTGAATCAACAAGTCCTCTAATGAACTGAATGCCAAACTGGGTTTTCTTTGGTGAAATCAGTGGTCTGTTAGATAGCATAAATGTTAAAGAAATGTTAGAAAGGAGATATCAGTAGTGAACTTAAAGGCATTAAGGGTCTGTGGTTTGCCACAACACCTTTTAGAGACACACCCAGCCTTGTGTGAAGATGGTAAAAGATTCTGGCGAGGCCTGTAACCTGAGTTCTTAGAAATGCTTCTGGAGTTAGCATCACTTAGTGATCCTGTGCCAGTCATTCGCTGAGGAGGCTTTCTGTCACCTGGCACCAGCTCTGGGTGTAGCTGAATCCCACCATTCAGCGTCGCTGCTTCGGGAGAACATTTGATTCAAGGTGCAGCAAGTTAGAGAGCTGGGACCTCACTGAGCTTGCAGAAGAATGTTTATGAACAGTGCTGTGCTTTCTTGGTAATAATTGTTCATTTAATAAATATGTTTATGGGCATCATAACTTGTCCTGTGACTTCCCTTCTTTTGCCCTCTGGGGGCAAAGCTATAGGAGAGTAGCTAATTCTCATGCATCCCAAACTTTTCAGTGACTGACGATGTTTTACAAAAAGAATCTAAAAGGCATGTGTGCAAATTGGCTAAGGTCAATCTATAATTCTGTTTCTCAGACTGTGTTTATCAGAATCACTTGAAGTTTTTAAGTATTCAATTTCTCATTCTCTTGAATTTCAAAGTTCCAGAGGTGGGGCCTGAGAGCCAGAATGGCAATGAGTTCTTCTCATGATTCTTACACACTTAGGATTCAGCTAATGACGATATAACAAAACAAGCATCGTGATCATTAGCTGACAGTATATCCTAAAGGCAGACCATAGACCCAAGAGGAAATCAATATTCTCCTGACTCCTGGGCTCAAAAACCAGAATCTGTAAACTGATGTAAATAGCACACCATAAAGACCTCATATCCTATAAACTCTATGCCATGAATGTGTGGTTACAGCTATGTGCTCGCCCCTCTAGATTGAAATCGATAAAAACTGGCCTTAGGCATTCAGGGAGCTCATGTATGGCCAAAAATATTCCAGTCAAGGGATCAGCAGAGATTATCAGTAGCTTTCCCACTGACAACTGTGATCTATTTGTGATCATAGCAATGAAAACTGTTGGCCATAAGCCAATCATATTGAATATTTTTTTGGACGGTAACCAGTTTGGCTATTGAGTTGTTTTTTCTCACATCAGTATGTCCAGTTCATTCACTCATAAGACAGCTTGTTTGACTTTCGTCTACTCATCAAATATTTATTGAGAGTCTTTTAAAAATCATGTAGTCTTAACTTCCAACAAATATTATGGAAGATTAAAGAAGCAGAGCCCTAGTTCATGATTTTTGTCTCTAACTTGTCACTAATTAGATGGGGAGAAATGCCCTGGTATAGGACTCAGAAAACTTAAGGTGCTAGCTGCAAACTCAGTGGCAAGTCAGTAAATTGCCTAGGGCCTCCTCTGTTTCCTCTCTAGACAATTCATAATAAAGTGACGTCTTGCTTAATTTGTAGAATTTACTAAGTCTTTCATAAATATTTATTGTTCATCTACAACATTCCAGGATTTTTTCTAGGACCTTGAGGAATATAGCAGGGTATGAGATAAACAAGGTGGCTGCTCTCATGTCACCTTACTCTAAAAACTAGAACACACACACACACACACACACACACACACACACACACACACACACACACACAGAGAGAGAGAGAGAGAGAGCTATATAACTATATATTTAATTAAACAAAGTAGATATGTAAATACAAATAGAAACATTTTCAGAGGCAAACATGTAACATACAGATTTTAAAGCTTAAATAAAAGCCTTTTCTAAGCATGTGATTTATTTTTTACATCTCACATTGCGTGATTTAGGACAGGAAACACAATAATCTAATAAAAGATGTATTGATCTAAACAAAGTACCCAGCACTTTAATAAAATATGTCCTCATAATGTATTAGTTATGAAAAAGATCATTTTCTGACAGGACACATTTTTTCAATTAGAAAATGTGACAGGTCTTTGCTACAACACTTTTTCACACATAGAGTTTATCATTAAGATAATCTTCTTCTTACTAATCTTTTCGTTACTTAAGAACCAAGATGTTTGTGACAACATGTCTTCTTCTGTAAGGTAGACTGTGGTAGGCACCTTTAAAATGGCACCCAGGAATCAATGGCTCTTTATAATCATGCCCTTGTGAAATCCCCTTCCTTTAACTGTGGACGGGATTTAGTGACTCACTTCCCACAGGTTGAAAATAATAGTAGTGATGGGATATCACTGCTAAATTGGATTATATTTTAAAAAATACTCATAGTTTTTATCTGGAGAACTTCCTGACTTACTGGCTTTCCCCTCCCCTCCTCTCTTTCTTTCCTTTTCCCTCTCTATTTCTCTGCCCAGTGACCCCCGGGAGAGGCTACTTGAAGAAGAAAGGTATTACAGAATCAGAGGCCACAGAGAACTGAGGCATCCCAGCCAGCACCAACTGTCAGCCAGGTAAGTGAGACCTACCGGAAGCAGACGAGGCTTCCAATGATGCAGCCACAAGTAACAGTTTGACGTCAACCTCATGAAAGACTCGCTCAGCAAATTACTACTGAATTCCTGATCCAGAGAAACTGCGAGATAATAAATGTTTGTTTGAAGACACTAAGGTTTGAATAATTAGTTACAAAGCACTAGGTGAACAGCAAATATTCCAAGGACCTGACTTTTGAGGATTATGAGGATGAATTTAGAATCTCCTTTTTTATACTTCAATGATTTAAATTAGGCCAGAAGAATATGGTGACATCATCTTAATATCTTCATCAGAAAGAAATAAAATTTTTCCTTTTCTTTTTTTGTTTTGCTCAGTGGAATTACAGTTTGTTTTGTCATGAGATCTACTGAGTCAGTTGAGTCAAATATAAATACTTCATAATCAAACTTCATTTTGAAACCTCATTTTTTGCAATGGATTAGTAACCAAAAAGGAATGGCATTCTTACCTCCAAAAAAGTACTTCTCGCCAGTTTTAACTTGAAGGGGACTATTAGTTCGAACTGCTGATGCTTCATCTCCATCGATGGTGAGAATAGCAAAATTTTCCTTGGCTAGGAAGCGAACCTCGTGCCACTGTCCATCATTCAACCCAGAACCTGGTAAGTACAAGATAAAAGTCATTTTTATCTTAAAATTACCCAGCTGAACACAATTTCCAAAATCAACAAATCACGATTTTACAAATAAAAGTATTTTTCTCTTGGAAAATACAGTGCTGCTTACAATTCAAACTGACGTCTCATGTCTCTTTAACATCATCATAAGTGGTTCTATACTCCACCTAACTGAATAAGGCATAATATAACCCAATCAAGTAGAGAAGCAGTATTAATACCGCTGTGTACTTAGGGAAAGAAATGGATTGAAAAAAAGTCATTTAGATGACCTCGGCCTCCCAAAGTGCTGGGATTACAGGCGTGAGCCACTGCATCCAGCCACTGAGCACATTTTATGATTATGTGCTATTTTAACTTAGTGAATTATGAACTACTTTAACTTAGTAATTTATTTTCTGGTTAGCTTTGCTAGATCTTATTCTCAGACAAGAAAATGAATTTATGGCTTTTATCTAAAGTCTGTCTTTGTTTTTAAAATCTTTATTTTTCTGTATAGCTTGTTTTCTCTCAATAAACACATTTGGTAAGTATAGTTTATAGAAATTAAGTACTAAATAATAACTGTGCATGTGTAGTTATAAGTACGAACTGACCACTAATAGTCATGGAAAATAATGATAGGATTATCTGAACATTTACAAATAAGTTATCTTTATAATGGAGTACATGGTATTAAAAAAAAAAAACAGCAAAATAAATCAAGAATGCATATCCCCAACAATGGCACTTCATTGTTGCTTGATACAACGATCTTTGGAAACAAAAATTAGATTGAATTGTCCATTAGCTGGACAGTAGCTTAAAGCTTTTGTTTAGTTTGTGTTCATTTTATGAAGAATAGTCAGAAAATTAAAAAGCAAAAATAGGAGAGCAGCCAGGAAACATAAGCATCTGGACAAAGTTTAACACTGGGTAGCAGAGAAAACCAAGAGGGCCAGAGGGGCTTTCTTCGACCCTGTGAAGGCCTGTGCTATGACAAGGTGGTGGGTGGGGGGTATTTTGTGCTATTCTTCTTCAGACGGCACAATGTAGAATCCACAGGTAGAAGTTACATGAGGACGTGCTTCAGTTTCACAAAAGAAAGAGAACTCTAACGAATAAAGGTGTCCAAAAATAGAATGAGAGCAAATCAATGACACACAGATCAAGGCTCCAAGCTCCTGATAATTTATACCAGGAATCTGAAAAACCACAGTTTGTGGCTGAAATCTGGCTTGCTGCCACCTGCTTTTCTATAACCTGTGAGCTAAGAATGGTTTTTACTTTTCTAAATGGTTGGAAAGAAATCAAAAGAAGAATAATGTTTAGTGACATGTGAAAATTATATACAATTCAAATGTTAGTGTCCATATAAATGTTATTGGAATGTAGCCAAGTACATTTATTTACATACCACATGCCCTACATCAAGAGTCAGCTGCACTGGAAACTATGTAGTTCATAAAGCCTAGGCTATTTACTACATGTGCTCCTTTATAGGAAAATCATACATTACTAGTTGGTTTATACTAAGAAATAGAAAAACTATTTTAAAGAACTTAAGGGCTGTTGGAGCTTAGAAGATAGTCACATGTTTGTAGTAGTTACTCATAGTAAGTATTATTACACATAATCACCCCTCAGGGTTTTGTGGGTTTTTTTTAGGATTTTCAAATTTTAATTTAGTAATACTTACTGAGCCCCTCTTTTTTTTTTGTGATGGAGTTTCACTCTTGTTTCCTAGGCTGGAGTGCAATGACGGGATCTCGGCTCACTGCAACCTCCGCCTCCTGGGTTCAAGTGATTCTCCCACCTCAGCCTCCCAAGTAGCGGGGATTATAGGCGTGCATCACCACAGCTGGCTAATTTTGTATTTTTAGTAGAGACATGGTTTCACCATGTCAGGCTGGTCCTGAACTCCTGACCTCAAGTGATCCACCCACCTTGGCCTCCCAAAGTGCTGGGATTACAGGCCTGAGCCACTGCGCCTGGCCACTGAGCACATTTTGTTTCAATCAAGAAAACAGTATAAAATCCCTGCTCTAAAGGAATTAATGCAAAAGACTTTCCAAATTATAAAATTTAGCATACAAGTGAATATATGTATAAATAGTATGCATAATATAAATAATGTAATAAGGCAAACAGCTATGTGAGCCCACTATCATCTCTGGTCTACCATATGATCCAGCAATCCAACTACTACGTATATACCCAAAAGGAAGAAAATACGTACACGGAAGAGATATCTGCACTCCTATGTTTGTTGCAGCACTGTTTACGATAGCTAAGATTTGGAAGCAACCAAAGTGTCCATCAACAGATGAATACAGAGTATTTCATTACCCCCCAATTGTTCCTCTGATTTCACTCTTTGCACTAACAGTCTAATCTCCCCACAAAGTGGTATTATCTTTATAAATGTATAACTGAGATCACACTATTCCCTATAACAGCTTTCTGTTCTTTTTGAACTCACGAAAAGTACTGACTAAAGTCCTTTTGGTGAACTAAGATGTGTCATGTGAACCATCTGGAATGCCTCGTGTGAATTATCTGCATGGTTTTGCTCCCTCACATCAGATCTCTGTGCAAATGTCATCTTAAGAGAGAGGTGGTCTTTCCTAGCTATTCTAAATAACATATCATTTTCCTCTCTCTCCCAACATTCCTTCTTTTCTGAGCTTTATTTTTCCTTATAGTTTCTCATTACTAAATTTATTATATGTTCATTTACTAGCATACTTACTAATTTTCTGTCTTCTATCACTTGATTATAAGCTCTCTTTTGTCTGTTTTCTTCTCTACTAAAAAAACCCTAAAGTTAAAACCATGTCTGGTACATAGTGGGTGTGAATGAATAACTGAATGAATCTGAGGGAGTGATCATGACCAGGAATCTGGCACTCTAGGTTTCATAGATGGCCAAGTAAATGATGAAACATAAAAAAGCAATAAAAATAGCATTGGAGTTGCTGACTATGGCTTCTCAGCTCTACACGGTAATGTGCAATATGACTCATTCTAAGGGTAAGGATTAAGTGGATATAATTTTTTTTGTTAAGTTTAATTTAATGTCAATAGATGTTCCTGGAAATCCCCATCATCCTAAGTCCATTTGTAATTGACCTTTCTCTGTTATCAAGTTATTAAATGAAGTATATCTCTTCATCCCACTCTGGCTGTCACCTGCAGAAAACTCCCATACATTTCAATGGCTTCCAATGATGTAGAAAGAGGAACAGTCCAGAAACTAGGTGTGCAAGGGACTGTAGTTACTACAGCCTCTCAGAGAGACTCCAGTGGGCTAGAACTCAGGTGCCCATAGTAACAATCTCCTTATTAAAGAACCTTTTTGTGGCTTTCCACCCCAACTTGTCTCACCTCCCCTCTCCCAGATTGCATTTATTGGACCAATGTCAAATAAACAATATGCACCCATATTCATATATCAGGGTCTACTTTTTGGTACTCATAGGTTACTTTGTAAGATAGTTCCTCACTGGAAAAAGAAAAAGGCATGATTTAAGTCCAAGTTCTGTTTCTGACAAGAATATCTTAAGTCATTTAATCCCAGAGTTTTATTTTTCCTGTCCATACAAAAATTGGGAAAACAATAAATGTTATTTCTTATCTTTCAAATATTCTGAAGAACAACACAGATACAATCTCTTGTACTATAAAATTACTCTATGCATGTAAAGGCTTATTCTTGAAGTTAACTGTCAGTCAAGCAGCAGTGTTTACTGAAATAGTTCCATCTCAAGTGGGTCCCTTTGGGTATTCCCAAGGAATTGATGCACTGAAGACCCTATCTTCACCATAGCATTTCCCTTTAAAGTACAAAGTAGGATTTATTGTTGATTAACTATAGGACTGCATGGTTTTTTGATTTTTGTCTTTATAATTTGACAAACCCTGCTATGAAATACAGTTTTAGGACATGGATCTCAAAGATATCAACGTGATATTTGTTCAGTCCCCAAATCCAATCCTAAATAATCACATGTCCAGAGATAGACCCTTATAAAATATCTTCGGTTACTCTAAGTGGAAGAACAAGAAAGCCTTTCAGAGAATTCCACGACAATTTCTCCATCACAAAATTAATTTAGAAATGGAACATCTTCCTTTTAATTTTTCATGGCAAAAGGTCTATTATTCTAATCAGATTAAAATTAAAAGGTTATTTTATTTTCTTCCAGGAACTTAATTACTAGAGAAATTAGAACCCAGATTAAAGGATCCTTGCTGATAGCAGCCACTACTGTATCAAAGCTTAAGCTTTGATTCCTATTCATTTCATTTCCAATTATTATTTTGAAATTTTAATGTTAATTATCAAGAGGTAATACCTCAGTAATCTATGATAAAAATGGGTCCCCAAATGTAATGAAGTTTATTCTTAAATGTGGCAAGGAAGACCCAATTTCTTATAGAAAAATGTGCTGCTTCTTTCATATTTTGTCTACATCTTGTAAGAAATAGTATCCTGAAGGCTGTCTCCAGAGAAGAATAGAATTTCATGATCTTTTTATATGTCAGCATATATAGTATAAAGTTCTAAGCTCTATGTGCTAGCCATGGTGATACTTTGCTTGCATTTGATTCGTAATACCTCACAAAATTTTTTTAAACAATTATCTCCAGTATATAGGGAAGGACTGAGTCTACCAATCTGTAAGCATCCTATAGATGGTAACAGGTAAAGGTTAGAATTTGAACTCAGACATAGTTGGTTCTAGAGCTTGAACAAATAAACAAGAACCACAACAAAATACATTATTTATATAGACCCTGTGCATCCATGATCAGAGTTTTCTTATACTATGCAAACACACACACACAACACGTGCACACACACACACACGCATGCACACACACACATGGGTACACACGCATGCGCACACACACTTCCATTTGCTACCACATCTGGAGAAGTGCTCAGTTTCTGGGGATAGCCATATCTCATACAGCATCAGGTCTGGAAATAAAATGAGGCTTTGAGTAGGTGGATTAAGTATTTGTATACTAGTTACTATTAGTATTTGTACAGCATTAGAATGGTGGCTGCCAGATAGGAGACAGTGTATCTATATTATTAAGACAAAAACATGGACACTTTAATTCATTTTATTTCATAGAAAAGTAAGCTGAGACACATTTAATAATTTGTCTTTCATCAGGGTGCTGTGGCTCACACCTGCAATCCCAGCACTATGGGAGGCCGAGGCGGGTGGATTACCTGAGGTCAGGAGTTTGAGACCAGCCTGGCCAACATGATGAAACCCAGTCTCTACTAAAAATACAAAAAATTAGCCGGGTGTGGTGGTGGGCACTTGTAATCCCAGCTACTTGGGAGGCTGAGGCAGGAGAATTGCTTGAACCCGGGATGTGGAGGTTGCAGCAAGCTGAGATCGTGTCACTGCACTCCAGAATGGGCAACAAGAGCAAAACTTCATCTCAAAACAAAAAAAAAAATTGTCTTTGGAGTTTACTATCTCATAATTACAAATATTAATGTAGTGATAAGCTTTCTAAACAAGAAAGCAATGCAGTAAGTCTTTACAATGTGGAGATCATAAATTTCACCTACAGGACAACTAAAAAATGCATCTTAGCCAGTCCTTTGTTAATGGGAATTTGAGGCTTGGGAAAACATATACAGTGATATGGGAAACTTATCCTATATCTTAAACAACTAAGACAAAGGTGAAGATGATTTGTTCTACAGAAATGTGTAGATGATTCACAAAGTTAGGGCAAAGACACTGACATTAAAGTTGCCTGTGCAGACATTAGAACAAAATTATTTCTAAAAAGTGAGAATGAAAAAATGAACTTTCTAAATGATTTATGTATGTAATCTGAAAAACACATAAATATTATTGACATCTTCACTTAGGCCTTGACAGTTTATGTGCAAGTTAGTAAAAATATAAAATAATCCAGGGAAAATGGAGAATTGCCTTATATTTGGGGTCATAATATATTCAGGCACACGTGGAGCTTGCCCCATAAGAGGCTGAGATTGAATTGGAACCCGGTGTGGTATGTACCACTGTTATAATTCTGTACCACATACAGTGTGGTATGTACCATTGTTATAATTCGTAATGATAAAAGTGTTTCAACTGTACCTTCTAAAAGGAAACTGATATTCATATAAAGAAAATTTAACCTAAAACGAACATCTTTGAAACCATATTACAGCACCTTCTCATTTTATATTTTTATAACTAAATTGTTTTATAATATTTTCTCTAACACCTCCCTAACTTATAATTGTTAGAAACACTTGTTTTGTATGCAAATGTAAAATATTAATGAAAAGTTTTCTATCCGTGCTTTCTAATGTTATCATTTTTAAAGTAAGACTCTTGAGGAAGTTGCTTTGATTGAACAAGAAGAAACAGATGTTGCTCTTATTAGAGACAAGAAGAAAAGACTGGTTTAATGAATGTTGAAAAAAGAAAAAGAACGTATTTAAAATATAATGGCAAACCAAGATGTAACATCTGTTAGAAAATGCTTCAAGTAAAATTACAGTGACTGGAGTTTTCAGTCTTGTGATCAATATTCAATCTTGAGAGCAAAATTTCCTAGAATATGAATTCATCTTTAGGCAGTTACAGGGTTCTATGATGTGTTACTAATATATCTTATTAATAATCAATTATCCTTTTATGCAATAAAACTTTAAAAAGGTATATAAATTTTCATATAAATATGCCATGCACTATTTCTTATCTATAAAAATTCCATATCATAAGAAAATGGATCCATTTTGACCTTTCTCATTTTCACATGCCAATCTAAACCACATTATAAATATGATCAATTGTTGTCAGATAAAACATGTAAAAAGGTGCTTGGGCAGGTACAAGGTACTTTTGTTTTTTATGATAAAGAAACTGCCAAATGCCTTATTGTAAAGTTACAAAGAGTCACTTTGGAATGTGTGGTTATTTTGGAAAAATCACTTGAATAGAAACTTTAAGTAAAACAAATACATTGGGGAGATCGTATGTCATGACATTTTTTGGATGTGTTATTAGAAATGATCACTTCATAGCTGGGTGTGGTGGCTTATGCCTGCAATCCCAGCACTTTGGAAGGCAGAAGCGGGCATATCACCCAAGGTCTGGAGTTTGAGACCAGCCTGACCAACATGGTGAAACCCCGTCTCTACTAAAAATACAAAATTAGCCAGCATGGTGGTGCATGCCTGTAATCCCAGCTACTCCAGAGGCTGAGGCAGGAGAATCACCTGAACTAGGGAGGCAGAGGTTGCAGTGAACCAAGATTGTGGTATTGCACTCCAGCCTGGTCAATAAGAGCAAAACCCTGTCTCAAATAAACAAACAAACAGAAATGACCACTTCATTTATTTAATACGTAGAATCTTAGGGATGGATGGGATGAATTCTTTTCTTACAGGCACCCAAATTCTTCTAAGAAAAAAGGATCTAGGTAGTGGTCCTTATCTTGTCTGCACATGAGAGTCATTTGGGGGAGCTTTTAAAGTTCCACCCTGATTCCTCCAAATCATCAGTGAGAGAAATTAAGGCACTAAACAAATGGAGATACATACCATGCGATTCTAACCGAAACCCAACAATATAGTTTTTGTAGAAATGCATGAGATGATTCAAAAATGTTTAAGAAAATGCAAAAAAAATCCTTAAATATTCAAAATAAGCAAAAAAGAAAAACCAAGTTAGAGAACTTATCATTTGATTTCAAGATTATACATGTATATCATCAGAGAAAGATCATAAATAGACTCACATGTAGGTAGTCAATTGTTTTTTAACAAAGGCACCAAGACAATTTAATGGTGAATGAAAAGTGTCTTTTACAAAAAATGATGCCAGAACAACTGGATAAATACAGAGAAGATGTATTTTTGACTTCTACTTTATACAATCAAACAAAAAAATAGTTCTGAAAGGATTTGAGACCTAAGAAAACAGAATATTTTCAGGACCTGGGGGCTAACAGAGGTTTCCTAGAGGACATCAAAATCACTTGATAATTTGAGATCCATCAAATTTAAAAACTTTTTCTCATCAACAGACATGGTTAATAAAATCCACGGCAAGAAAGAGACTAGGAAAAATTATTTTCAGTGCATGTATCTTAAAACAGAATATACTAAAATATACTAAGAGCTCCTGTAAATCAATAATCACTGGAAAAAATGGGCAGAAGTCACATCCCAAATAAAGATCTATTAATTATTCATAAGCACATTAAAAAGTGCTTTATATTATTAGTCATCAGGGAAACCAAAACCATGATATATAATTTTATACCCATTTCGGTGGCCAAAAATTAAAAGGGCTAACTAGCATCTAGAGCAATTTGAACCCTCATGCATTGCTGGTTGGAGTATAAAATTGTACAATCTTTTTGGAAAACTCTGGACAATTTTTAATAAAGTTAAACATATATTAATCCTATGACCCAACAATCCCCCTCCTAAGTATATATCTACCAATATCAGAATGTATGTTGCAAAAATACTCATACAGGAATGCTTGACAGCCTTATTCATGACAGTTGCAAATTGGAAATAAACACATGTACATACAGTATATATTCAAACAAGGAAATATTGCTAAATAATAAAAAAGAAAAAGGAATGAACTAGTGATACAAGCAACAGCATCAATGAATTTTTAAAATATTGTGTTTTGTAAGAAAAACCTGGACATAAAAATAACATATTTTATGAATATGTTCATAGAACTAGTTTATAAAATAGATACAGGGAGGGGAACATCACACACCGGGGCCTGTTGTGGAGTGAGGGGAAAGGGGAGGGAGAGCATTAGGACAAATACCTCATGCATGTGGGGCTTAAAACCTAGATGATGGGTTGATAGGTGCGGCAAACCACCATGGCACATGTATAGCTATATAACAAACCTGTACGTTCGGCACATGTATCCCAGAACTTCAAGTAAAATAAAATTTAAAAAAAGAATAAAAAAATCAAGCTGATAGAAATCAGAACAGCAGCTGTCTATGGGAAGGTGGGCACAAGTGGGAATGGACTGTAGGGTGGCACGAGGAACTTTCTGAGGGAGAGAAAAAGTTCTATATGCTGATTCCATGTTTGCTGTCTAAGTGTATATACTCATCCAAATCCATTGAATTGTACTTTTAAGATCTGCGCATGTCATGAACAGTTGGTCCTTATTATTTGCAGATTCAACATTTGTGAATTTGCCTACTTGCTAAAATTTAGTTATAAACCCAAAATCAATACCCATGGTCATTTAAAGACTCATGCATGTACAGAGTGGTCCTAAGGCACAAGTTTCCAACTGAGCTAACGCTTTGCCTTCTTGTTTAAGGTCTCAACCTGCAAACAGGTATTCTTTTCACTGTATATCCAGTGCCTCTTTTCACTGTATATCCAGTGCCTTTTTTTTTTTTTTTTTTTTTTGGAGATGGAGTCTCACTCTGTCACTGAGGCTGGAGTGCAGTGGTGCAATCTCAGCCCACTGCAACCTCCACCTCCCGGGTTCAAGCAATTCTCCTGCCTCAACCTCCCGAGTAGCTGGGATTACAGGCACAAGCCACCACGCTCGGCTAATTTTTTTGTAATTTTAGTAGAGACAGGGTTTCAGCGGGTTGCCCAGGCTGGTCTTGAACTCCTGAGCTCAGGCAATCCACCCGCCTCGGCCTCCCAAAGTGCTGGATTACAGGAGTGAGCCACTGCACCCTGCCAGTGTCATATTTTTTATACTTTGGTGCTTTTGTTGACTTTGCTGTTAAAAGCGGTCCCCTGACATAGTACTGAAGTGCTCTTTAGTGTTCCTAAGTTAAAGCTGTTATGTGCCTTACATAAAAAATATGTGTTTGTTAAATTTGATTCAGGCATAAGTTATAATGCTGTTGAACATGAGTTCAGTTTTAATCAATGATAAATATTAAATACAGTAACTTTAAACAGAAACACACACAAAACAAGGTTATGTATTGATTAGTTGGTGCAAATATTGTGATCAGAGGCTGGCAGGAACCTAACCCTGTATTTCCCGTAGGAAAAATGGTTCAATAGTTGCCAATTCAATTTTCACAGTGACTATACAGAACATAACTATATATTGACTAATGAGAACGATGAGAATCTACTGTATGTAATTTTTACCTCAATAATATGTAAATGTTTTCAAATGGAGTAATAGTGGTGCTATTCATTTTAAAATTCAACTAAATTTCATTCAATGTCTACTTTATGCTGTGTTTTCTACGTCATCAAACAATGGGAAACCCAATATATATGAAATTATTTGCTCTTAAACAGGAGAAAACAATTAGACTCTTAAAATGTTGAACTTACAGAGATCAATATTTTAGCATATTAAAAATTAAATAACTACCCCAAGACTAAATGTTCATGAAAAAAATTTTGGTAGCTTTTTCAACCATTACTGATTCCTAGCCAAAAGACAAACATCACTATACTTCAAAAACTCTTATTTGAAACTTTATTATTCTGCCAATGATTAATTTCTTTTCTTGACATAATCTTACAGACCAGGTAACTTTAGTAGGAATATGTTTATACAAGGAGCCATTTTCATTAATCTTATCACTTTTGGCAGATGCCTGCCTTCCTTCCTTCTTTCCTTTCTTTCTTCCTTCCTTCCCTCCTTTCCTTTATCTTTCTTTCCTCTTTATTTCTCACTCTCCCCAATTGTCTCTCCTGTTTTTTTTTTAGTATTTGATTCTCTGTTGAATATAAAACACAATACAAGTTGTCATGAATAGGAAGCTATTGTTGGCTTCAAGGAGGGTTCTAATTCATCTGACTATTGATTAATGAAAAAATGTAGGTAAGATCTAAGATGGGGTGTGGTAAAGCCGTTAAGTCTGGGTATCATACCAGGATGTCATTTATACCAGGGTTTCAAATGACAATATCAATCCTCTGTTTATTTGTAAATATGTATTGAATACCTACTATTTCCTAAGTACTATTTTAGCACTAGAGATACAGTAAGTCATAACTGGTTTCTGGTCTAGAAATATTTAGCTATTTTAATTTGAATAAGTTTTTACATTTCTTTGTAACTTGGTTTCCTTATAGAGGAAATCATGATTCATGAGTCATAATGTATATGAGGTACCTGATACTATTGAGAGACAGTAGCAGCTTTTATCATTATTATTTTGTCATGTATGTATAAAGACAAAGTACATGTATGTATAAAGGGAAGGCACTTTGGAGGTTTTAGAAAAGGAACACATCACATTTTGTATGTAGTGTGTGAGGTCACAAGACAAAGACATTATAGAGTGGCATTTGAGATGGGTTTCAGGTTTTAAATACAGACTTTTAAAGAATACAATTCTTCATCCATAAAGTGACATTTATTGGAAAAAACTTGGAAAACCCAAAAAAGTATAACAGAGAAAATATTCATATCATGAAGAGATGTCACACTTAATATCTGTTGTATTTCATCTGGCTTTGGCCATGAGTAACTGCAAACTACTCTCGTTACTTTGATAACTGAAGAAAGGTTAAAAAACAGGAAGAAGCACGTGATGATCATCGTCTGCTTTCTCTGATTTCTTATGACTGGGGTGATTTGACAGTCTTTGCTTTTCATCTTAACTTTTCAGCTGTTCTCTAAAGAGAGGAACGTGTAAATTTGCTCCCACCAGCTTAAGCCCTTTTACAGTTCTCCTTCAAAGAGTCAAGCTCATTCTTTCACTCATTTATTCACTCATTAATTCATCTCTTACAATGCAACTGGCATAGTTTGAGGTGCCAGGGGTATAAGAGTAAAGAAGACACACAAGGCCCCTGCCCTCAGGGAGCTTATATTCTTGTGTGCAAAGACAGACAATGGGTTTACAGGTACAATTTCAGACAGTGATAACTGCTATAAAATAACTAAAACAGAGATTGTAATAGAGAGATAAGAATGATTGACAAAAGGGTAATGCTCTGAGGAGGTGACAGTAAATCTGAAGCCTGAAGGACAACAAGAGGTCAGCCACATGATGATTTGATGCAAAGGCCCTGAGAGAAAATATGCTTGGTGTATTGGAGTGCCAGACCAAAGGGACCAGAGTGCAAAAGGTAAGGGGGAAGGACTGAGGAAATAAGAGAAAATATATAGGTAAAGGCCTGATAAGTAGAAGGCAAGAGTGAAGGTAAGGACATCTATTAGGATGCTCTTACCGTCATTAGGGCAAGAGACGATGGAAGTTTGGACGGAGGTTAGCACTGGAGAAATGTGGCCAGATTTTTCACGTTTTGGAAGCACAACTGGTGGGTCATTGACTGGCTGTCGAAAGTTTGAGAAATAGATCTGTAACTTAAGCAACTGAGTGGAAATTGATGCCATTTAACTGTAATGAGAGACTGGGGGAGGGAGTCGAGGTTGGGCGAATCTGTTAGATCACCAAGTAGAGATATCAGGTAGGCAGTTATATATTTGGGTCTGGAGCTCAAGAAAAAAATGTAGTCTGGAGATACAAATCGTATGTCATGAGTGTAAGTCACGGGGCAAGATGAAGTTACCTGGGGAGAGACTTGACACAGAAAAGAGAGTTTAGGCTGAACCTTGGAGTACTCTAAATTTTCAAAGTTGAGGAAATGGATGAGAGGCCAGGTAGCAGAGATTCTTTGCTTGACTAAACTTTAGTTAAGCTCCTGAAGTTTCTCCAAGGCCCATCTGTGCAATTCCTTATACAATTCAGCTTAGCAAAGAACCCTGCTAAGTCAGTTTAGCAAGACACACCCCCATTCCTACTCCCCCTGCTCTGATTTTCCATATCTAATTACCCCGATGATATCTGATCAGGTTCCTCATCCTTCGCCATCTCCCGGGGGATGGTGGATCACCCCAGCTTGTTTTCAGTGAGAATCCTGTTAGGACAGTTTAACCAGAATCCTGTTTGCACCTGATGTTTCTTCTTAGTAATGTTGCATCCACTGACCCCACTCTATTCTTTGGCTATATAAATTCCCACTTGCCCGTGCTATATTTGAAGTTGAGCGTAGTCTCCGCCACTGCAAAATCCCATTGCTGTGGTCCCCATACCCATTGAGATGGCACTGAATAAAATATTTCTCACCATGCCGTAACAAGTGTCACTGAATATTTTTTTTTCTTTAACAAAGAAAGATTACTGAGAGAGTGGCCAGTAAAAGAATAGGAGAATGTGATGTGAAGAAGGAAACTATTTGAAGAAGCAGGGACTAGTCAACTCTTATAAGTGCATCTGAGACATCAAGTAAAACAAGGAGGAGAAGTGAACATTAGATTTGAGAATGTGAAGGAGAATGTTGATTGGAGTGGAAAGGGGAGAATATGGTAGGTGAATGGAAAGGGAAGATATGACCCTCGAGTAGTTTAGCTATAAAGGAGAAGAACTTTGAATAGTGGTGTATATTGAGAAGCTAATGAAAACTATGAATCCTGATCCAAGAAAAACTCATTCATATATACCCCAAATTTGTATGCACTTTCAGTGGTTTAGGTCTTCTCTCAGGTTCAGAACCCTGGTTTATATAATTCATCATTCTTTAATTGCACCATTTGACTTTATTGGGTAATGCATATATTATCATTTCATTTATGCTTTTCAGATTATTTTTCTTACGTTCCGTTTTTTCTATTTAAACATTTATAGGTTATATTTCCTGTTCCTTAGCTTTTTAAAATAAATATCCAAGTTAATTTTTTAAATTAAATATTAGTATTTGTTTACAGTCACTGTTTTGTTCTGTTCTAAGCAGAGATTTGTAGTGATAAGATTGTTATTGTATCATTTTAGGAATATAAGTTTTCATTATTATTATTACAATTTCTTAAATCTAAATTGACTAAGTTATTTTTAGACCTTTATTTTTGTCCCATATATGTTTCAGATAAATGTAATATCTTAGTTTTCTATAAAGGCACAAAATCATCCTTGGTTTATAGAAAATTGACACTATGTAAACGGCAAGGACATTCAAATCAATTCCTCTGACTTTTTCTGAGGATATATCTATTTGACACATTGTAGACAATATAAAAATAAATCTGATGATTCCAGACTTTATGGAGTTTGCCCAACTGTATGGTCTAATGATATGTAAATAGCTTTATGTACATATTTATAATTTCTAGAAAACGCTTCTCTATATTTTACAAATCAGAGTTACATAGCTTTGGAAGAATAAATAAAAATAAATGGGGAAGACAGAGTGTAGCTGAGATTAGTTTGGTATCCAACTGGGAATCTGACAAGAAGTCATCCCAAATATAGGCATTCTCTTGTTTTCCATATCCTAATTGTAATATGCCATTAAAACTCTATTGGTCCCGTCTTCAAGGCTGGTGTTATCCTGTTAGAGAAATGAACACTAGAATGATTACAGAGCACCTTGCCTCTTCTCCATGTCCCAAAGGCACATAGTTCCTGTCCTCTTATGTATTAAGGAAGAAATTATGTAATGCTATTGGTCAATGACTTTTTAAATTCTGTCATATTAGTATTATAGATGCAATGCAAAAAGTATTTTTAAAAAGGAATAATAGGAATATCAAAAATGAAAATAATGACAATTTAGACAAGGTTAATTCTTGAATCAATTTTCTCATTTTTTCTAAATGTTTATAACAAAAGCTTAAAATGAAAAATTGTCAGAAATGTAATTTAATGGCTTCCTTTAAAATAGTATGTATGATTAATTCTATTCTTTGAAATATTTCAAAATTTTGGTTCCATAATAATCATAAAGAACTTGAATTTTAGTGGCTTTCATTAAAATAGAGCCTTTTTATACCTGTGTTTACTGGGTAACACGAGTGAGATAATTGTTTTTAAGTTAGAGAGGTTATCCAGTCACTCAGGGGCTCAGAAATTCCCAAGTTCAGGAAATCATCATGATCAGAATCCTGACAAGGAAAAGACATCTTAAAATATTACATCCAGGTACAATCCTTTATGATTTGAATAGAAACAATTATTCTTAAATTGCTTTATAAATTGCATAATAAGAATAGAGTTTCTTATTTCAGATAATTCTGCATTAATCCTTTTTTTATAAAACTCTGTTTTTATACATGCCACCAGATAATCTTTAACTTTTATTCAAAGGATGCACCCAGGCTGCAGATATAGGCAAAAACTCAGTGCTTACCTTTTACAGGTAGGTTTTTCCTGCCAACCTCTCTACTACTTATTCTTCTACATGACTCCTAGCAGCTTCTGTATGTTTCAGCTCAATGTCATTTCCTCCAATTAAACCATTAATGAGGACTGAACCTTGAAAGGTACCTCTCAAGGTATTCATTAACTATGTCTCTTCAGAAATCTTCAATTCAACAATAATCTTTTTTGAGTGTCAACTGCCCTTTTGGTAGTTTTTCTTACTCCTAGTGGCAAAACTTGTGTGGAAAAATGCCATAGGTGAGTACGTTAAAACAGTATTTATGTGAGTGAAGTAACACATATTAGGATATAAATGTATGTTACCAAGTCTTTTTGTGGATTATAAACTAAATGTGATAGGCATTTGATTAATGGTTAAAAATAAAAATATTTTAAAATGTAATATTTTTATCCTAGCATAAATTTTAAAAATATTGATTTGTTATTAATATGGTTTCATGGGTTGGCATCATGTGCATAAGTCAGGTATGTGTGCTTGTATATGTGTATGCACACATATGTGATATTCATTACATGCTACGTAAGACAGGAGAGCCGTGTGATATACTAAAATAGAGTTGGGTTAGAATTTGGGCAGCATGTACTGTAATATTATGTGAAGAAGTTGCTTTCTCTCTCTGTCCTCCAAATTTTTATCACTAAAATGAACGCTTCATTCCAGCTGAATTACAAGATTCCTTTTCATGCTAACTACTTAAAAAAAAGACTAGAATACATTCATGTGCCATAGAGAGGAATAGAAAGACCAATGATGATGTATTGATTTGGGGGGAAAAAAACACGTTATTTAGGGCACATTAAAATAAATACTTATATAATTGAAGTTGAAAACTTTTGGCTTCACATTTGTACTTGCCGTTCTGGATGACTCTAAACATTAAACACAATGGCCATGGAACACCTACAGAGATGAAAGAGATTTCACCGAGATGAAAAAAGAAAATTACATGTGGAAAATGTAGGACTCGTCACTTGAATATTGTATCTTAGTAAAGGGAAGATGGGAAGTCCTGGTAACGTCATAGAATCTTGGGAATAAATAAATGACATACCAATATGGAAGATGAAACCAGGACCATAGAAAGAACTAAGATCTTTTACCAGGTAAAATCTGAAAGGGAATTCATAGCCACTTCTGTGATTTAACGCCAAGTTGTAGAGTCCCAGAAAGTACTGGGAAATTGAAGATAGAAGTAAGATTTTTGGGAAAAGCATTTGTTCTCTATTTCAGAAATTCTCTGGAATACTAATATTAGGATGAAGATGTCATCCAGCAATACCCCACAAAGGCAATTATGTGAGAGAATTTCTGGTAGGTTAGATGACATATAATGTTAAACTTCTATGATACAAATGAGTAATTATCATTTTCTTATTTATAGAACATGTCCTATCTAAAGACAACATTAGCTAGATCCACAGATAATCTTTTTTTATTATATAGCACAATTATATTGTTTTTGGTAGCTACTTGCTGCGTATTGCTTAAAGTTGGTTGCTAGATGAGCATCCCTCTAGTTAAAATGAATTATTGAAACTAAAAGCAATCTGGAGGGTTGGTAACATTCTATTTCTTGATATAGACACTAGTTACATAGGTATGTTCAGTTTTTTTTAAAAAAAAGCCTTTGAACTATACAATCATAATATGGACTTTTTCCATATGTATATGTCAACAAAATAAAATAATAAATCAGGGCAAGAATATATTTAATGTACAACATAAAAATACCTTAAAATGTGGAAAATATTGGAGTCACTGTTATCTTTAAAACTCATTAGATGGGGGTATAGATGTGTCAAAAAACTCATGAAATATGCATATAGTTGTAGGATATTAATATATTATAATTTAGCAAAACTGATAGCTATCAATGCCATTAATGTCATGTGAACTGCAGTGTATAAGAAGAAATTATTGGTGGACTATGGCATAGTAGACAATGTCTTCATAAAATTTTTGAAGGTGACTTCAGGACACTTTTAAGGGTTTTCAAGTTGATATCACTTTCAAATTATGTCTAATTTCATTTGTAAACTTAATGGTGGCTGGGTGAAGTGGTTCATATCTGTAATCCCAGCATTTTGGGAGGCCAAAGCAGGAAAGTTGCTTGAGACTAGGAGTTCAAGACCAGCTTGGACAACAGAGTGAGACCCCCATCTTTCTCTACATATAAATAATAGTAATAGTAATAAATTAATAATAAAAATAAAGGGCTTTCCTTTGATTAATTATCAACCATGATTAAGGCTCTTTTATGACACACAGATACATAATATAAAATTAAGCACCATTTTGTTTTGCTTTCCCTTTAAACTGTAGAGAGTCCATCATCTTCCCTGTATTTAAATTTTCTCAGGCTTTCCTCATCTTCATTCTTCTTAAATTCACCATCTCTGTATGCCTTAGACTAAAAAGTATAACCAGATGGTTCAAATAGCCTAATGTTTAACTCTTGAAATCTCACCACTGTCATGGCTTAAATTAGCTTGAAGATTCTCAATCTTCACTCTGCTCTCACATATTTGAGAGATGATGATGTCATCCAAACCATGGCTCACAATGACAGTGACTTTCCTGGAGAAGCTAAGTTCTTTGGTAGCTGGGGATATAAGTCAAGTTTGAAAAACTAAATATACATTATTTGAGAAAGGAGTTTCATGTGGCTGGTCACACCTGATTTATATGGATTACACACTTAGACTAATAGCTAAATTAGAGTGTCCCCTTTGTGTCTAGCTCAGCCTTTAACAAGTTGTACTAAGGTTTCATGCCCACTATCAAATCTCCCCAAGGTAAAGCCGTAGCCTCTGAAGAACAAGGAGGACTAAGAAGGCACAGAATTTAGGGAGAAGAATTTGAAACAGTAAGCCGGATGAGCGAATTAAGTCACTCTTGGTCTGAAGAAGACATTGGCTTCTAACCTCCCTCCTTTTGGAAGATGGAGGTCCTGTCTATCCCCCAACAGCAGTTTCACAGAAGGTGATCTCAGCTCACAGGTGTAGAGGGTGGTAAACTCCAGTAGCTAGTAGCTACCTGCTGATGATCACACAGGTCATAGTCAAGGGAAGGGTCTCTAGATCAATTCAGTGAAAACCAATTCTCTAAGAGTGGATTGGCCAAAAACAATTATCTAAAGAATCAGGTGATGACTAACTCACCAAATTCATCAATTTTACCAATTTATTAGGTAATTGTGTTAAGAAATATTCTTCTTGAATATATTCTATGAATATGAATGTATTCATCTTATGAATATATTCATGAATATATTTCTCTTAAATATATCCAATAAATGTGAATATATTAGTAGTATTGTAGGGATTATTTAATTTATCAAAAGCTAAGGGTCATAGGTTTAGTCTTTTAATAAATATATTCATGAAGAACATATTCATGAGGATTGTAGTTATGAACTAAATCAGCCTGTGAATATACTAAAGGAAAGTATATTCAGGGAATTCTTTCATTCAATTATTCAATACTATGTCAGACAATACCCTAGACAATATGACTACATCAAAAATAAAGTTACTGACCTCACAGAGCATCAATTCTTAATATACATATTGTCTTTTAAAAATAATATTTAATATAAGCTTTTGGCTAATCCATTTTGTAAATCTGGTGAATTTACCTATTTCAAGGGAGATATCTATGAGCAATGTTGCAGCCTTCCTATATTGAATGCTGATGATTCGTTATAAAAATCTTGCACCAGAGGTTTATTATATTGGTCCTTATCATTATTTGTAATGTTCACATATAGCCTTCTTTAAAGTTACATATGAACTTTCTTTTAAGTTATATGTGAACATCAAAAATTTAATAAGTGACCATTCTGTGTAACAGCCAGAGTTACTTCCCATTTTGAAAATGAACAGATGATTAAATCGAGATTCAAAAAATTTAAGAGACTTGCCCATATAAACTAGTAAGTTGAAAACCTGGTAGTAAGACCCAAGTTTGTGAAATTCAAGTCAAAGATTTTTTTTCACTTTTCAGAGCTGCCACTTATCATCAGTATTACAACTCTGCACTTTCCAAAACTTGAGATTTTGTTAGCTGGGTTTAGCACAGGTTATTAACTCAGATTTCTACAATAACAATGAAAAGGATATCTTACTTTTCATATCATGGGATTTATACTTCCCACTCGCTTTATTTTTTAAAGCAAATTATGGTAGAAATATAGTACATCAGAACAATTTCTATGTTAAAGCATAAAAGTAAGGTTAATGTGAATATAACAGTTATTGTTACTAATTCTTATTTTTATTAAGCAATGAATAGCTTCATTAAGTAATACATTAGTCTTTCTTGCTAGCTTTGTGGGAGAAAGAACAATGAGACTGCTTGAGTTAAACTTTGTGTGGCTTTTAAAAGAGAAAATGTTCTTTCCCAAAGGGCACTACAAATAAAAATAAAATAAAAAACCCTAAGCTGAACATCATTATTCTCTGAGAAAGTCATCAAAAGAAAATGAAAATGTTGGCATTTTCGTAAACGAGTTTGCATTTTATTGAGCATGACTTCTACGAGAGATTTTTTCGTCCCTGTAAGAGACGCCTGAATATGAAGCAGACTTGCTGGAGGATGTGTGACCTCTGTTTTTGTCTCTGAACTGTGCAAAGACAGAAAAGGGCTTTTGTTATTGTTTTCCTGTAAAAGCCTCAGTTGTTTAATTTATTTATTCCCAGCCCGTTCTCAAAGGGAACTCAAGCAAACAGAAATTGGTCACTAGACACCTCTTTTCACTGTTGATTTTCTTCTTTGTTTAAACAGCGGCTTTCCCACTCTGGTAATGTCTTGGCTCAAACAAAAGTTATGGTTACACAAGAAAGAGTTTACAATTAGCTGTATACATTTGGAAAACAAACATCATTTGTACTATACAAAAGGCAGAAAGAGTCCATTGTAAGTCACTGTAAGATCACTTTACATGTAGACTTGAATTGTTCACTGTGCTCTGCAGACAGAATTTAAGAACAAATCTCATGCTTTTATTTAGGCCGTCCACCTATCTGACAGATCTCTGTCTACCACCGTGTAAACATCCTAATAAATCCCTACTTAGCATCTTGTAAACTTACCATTTTCTACTGTGATCGATGAAGTTACCTCAAGACAGGAATCATATAGTTATTTCATTCTTAAAGTATTTAGCGTTTACATTGGTTCAAGTCAATGTTGACTTTGTGACAAAAGGGAGCCATTGAGAGCTGACGAGAATTCTAACAATGCCTGGTGTATAGTAAGCTGGTGGATCATCTAGGGATAGGTTTATGAAGCAACATAAGGAAACTGACTAGGATGATTTCCTTCCTTCTTTAACTAGGCACTTAATAATAATCAATATTATAATTTAGCTCTTACTATGTCAAGACAATGAGATGATACTGAAGAAGACAAAGTTATCATTTTATGGAAATCAGATGCTAGATGAAAATGTAGTTTATATGATTATTAGGTCCTATTGGCATAAACATGAAGAGTACTGACAATAAAACTATGGGGACCCATCGCCTAAGTTCATCAAATATTTACTGAGCATTTATTATGAGAAATAATGAATTCAAACGTCTTTCTCAGCAAGATTTATTATCTCTGAGTCAAAGCTTTAAGAATGAATAATCGTCTCACCATTAGCCTGATCAAGAAATTATAGCATTATATTTTACTTTTTCTTTAGAGATGATTATTTTTAACTGGAAGAAATAATACATTTATAAAAATATTTATTATATGCAGAAAATTTTAGTGCATTATCTGAAATCCAAGTATATCTATCACTAGTAAATTTATGTAGATTATAACATGTCAAAATGTAGGTAAGTATTACTAACACATTTGGCATAATATCATAAAGATAGGGTTCAGAATGATTATAGTTATTTAATCATCTTCATTATAATGATTTCAAGTATGTATTTTTGGCTATGTCTAGCAAGCTATGTATAATGCTCTGTATTCAGGATAGAAAGTAATTTGTATTCATTCAATTTTACATTTAAAAATGTAAGCTCCATTTTGTTACAAGTACAGTTATAAAATCCTATCACAGATGCAGAATTATAAATGTTATTTATAATTTTTAGACTTTTAAAAATAATTATGCAAGTTTTATTACTTAACATTATACGAAAAGACTGAAATAATTTTAAATAATTATAAGGGATTAATGATAGACATAAAATTTTATAGCTATATAATGGAGACAATTATCACGCTTTTATTTATTTCCAATAATTATGCTTTATTTTTCCTTATAAAAAACTTTATTCAGTATAAAACTTCACAAAATGTACTGTGAATCTTTTAAAAATGTGCTATTTTTCATTTTAATAATTAAATGGTTTGATTTTACACCCACTGCAGTCATAGATGAGAGAAATTAGACTTTTTTCTTTTACATCTTTAAGGAGGTAAATTAAGAAAGAAATAAGAATAATTTTGTCCCCAACTATACTTCCATGATTTTACTCATTCAACAGATTGTTCTGTAGTTACAAATTCTGAAGACTGTGGATGATAGAGAAAATATTTGAAACATGGTCCTCAACTTCTGAGGTACTTACTGATTTATGGAAGACATATGTAGAGAAGTAACTATAAAAGTCAGTGAACATTGCTTAATATTAAAAGAAATCACTATGAACTATGGAATGGATGGATTACTTTCTTTTGAGGATATAGGGAAGACTTCATGGAAAAGTTTCTATTTATGGAAATTGATGGAAAAGCTACCTGAAATGAAGAGATTGTCAAGAATTAAGGGATGGAAGTGTAGGAGGCTATTTTTTTTTTTTTTTTTGCATGGTTTCCACCCCTTCCTGAGCTCCTAGAATATATAAATGAATATCCATTAGCAGCATATTTCTATCTTTAAACCCACAGAGTTGTTCATACTCAATATATGTTTGCTGAATGAGCAAGTGGATTATGTATAATTCAGCAAGAGCAATTTGCATGCATTTCATGGTATGGAATGAGTGATAAGACCAGAGGTACCAGTTGAAACCAGATGATGAAGGACTTCGAATTTCAAATTAAGAAGTTTGAATTCATTTACTATTATCTTTTAAATGTTGTTTACTTAAAAAGAAAGAAAAGGAAAAATTATTGTGGCCACTATCAATAAAGTTTATGAAAAGTAAAAAAAAAAAGAAGTTTGAACTTAATCTAGTAAGAACTTTATAGACGGAAGAAATGGCATAATAACAGATTTCTTGGGAGGATGAATATAGCAGCTATAGACTATAATACGAGTAAATCATGGTACTTTCTAGTGTACAGCATCCCCACAAATATGCTTATAATGTATATGTGCAAATTTCTAAGGTAAATATATATTCAATATTATACTTAGCAACCTGAATTATCTCCATTCAACATTGGAAAATCAGAGAAAAAATGGCTAAACTCAGGAGTTCAAATAGTAGTAAATTCTGACTTTTTAATTCTCATTTTGGTGTTTCATTATGTGATTTGCTTCTGAAAAATTAAGTTTATCTAGTCTTTAGCTTTGTAATGCTATGGTTCTTCTGTTTTTCTTTTCTTTTTGGTTCTCATTTGGCTTCTACTCCTTTTCTGAATGTCTCAAACATTCATCAAAGGCTCATTATGACATGTACCTGAACCATCCTGCTATGACTACGTAAATGGAGAATTCAATCTAGTTTTGAGACAGTCTTAAATGTTCCTATTTATATTTCAGCTACTCATGCATGAACTTGATTACAAATTATGTGTACATAGCCATAGTTAGTGAATCCTCAAACCATATTGCAAGCATATCATATTTCACTCACAGGAACAACGGAATACTAGCTGTCATTGGTGTTTTATAAAGATAAATTACTGAACCACAAAAATCATGAGATGAATTGTAACGCAGCACTTGGATTTTATTCATGGAGGCACCGTGGCTTTGTCAGTCAATCATAGGTGAGCACACTTGGTTTTCACGTCTAACAGCATTATTGTCACTACTGACAACTCTACTCATCATAGGGGAAGTGGGTTCTTTCCAGAAAGCCTACAGGGCTAAATTGCATTGCACATTGTATTCCAATTCACAGCATCTGTGCTTCATTTGCAGTTTTTTTTTTGTCAATTGAACGCAGCATTTGAAAGAAAAATTTCTTATAAATACAAATACATATATGAAAGTGTGCTAGTATAAAAAACCTAACATAGTCATTAATATTGCCATATCTGTTCCCAATATACAAGAAGACCTTATGAGCTCTCAAACACAGGTATGTTTTGATGAAATATTATGCTGTTACAGTAGAAAACAATGCTTCAATCTAATCAGGATACAGAAAGAAATTGTGTCTGCATTAAAACCATTACATTCCAATATGAGCTTCAAGTTTGGCATCAAATTCATTTGTTTATTTTTACAAGCTATGGTATCTGTAACATAGCTGAGACAATGGTTACTTCAAGACAAGTGGCAATTTAAACTGTACCAGGAATAAAGAGAAACTATTTAATTCAACTTACAAACATTTTATTGGTCTTAATTGGGCTTAGATATGTATATTTTACAATTCTTTCTTAAAAGATTTTGCTTGAAATTAAATCAGTAACAAAAAATCTTCCAAGAACAACAAAAAGCCCAGGACCAGATGGACTCACAGCTGAATTTTACCAGATGAATGAAGATGAGCTGGTATCGATCCTATTGAAACTATTCCAAAAAAAAAAAATTAAGGAGGAGGCATTCTTTCCTAACTAATTCTATGAAACTAGTATCACTCTGATACCAAAACCAGGCAAGGGCACAACAAAAAAAGAAAAATACAAGTCAACATCCCTGATGCTGGGATATTGCATGCAAAAACACACATGCAAAAATCCTCAACAAAAGACTAGCAAGCCAAATCCAAGAGCATATACAAAGATGATCCATCACAATCAAGGGGGTTTTATTCCAGTAATCAAAGGATGGTTCAACCTATGCAAACCAGTAAATGTGATTCACCACATAAACAATTAAAAAAAAACCCATATGATCAACTCAATAGGTGCAGAAAAAGCACTCAAAATCCAACATGCCTTTATGATAACAACTCTCAACAAACTACGGATTGAAGGAACATACCTCAAAATAGTAAGAGTGATAAATGACAAACTCACAGCCAACATCACACTGAATGAGGAAAAGTTGAAAGCATTTCCCCTAAGAAACTAGAGCAAGACAAGGATGCCCACCCTCAATACGACTTTCCAAGATAGTACTAGAAGTCCTTGCCAGGGCACTTAGGCAAGAGAAATAAGTAAAAGGCATCCAAACAGGAAAAGGAATTGTTAAATTATCTCTGTTCACTGATGACATGATCTTAAAGGTCCCTTCAAAAGATCCCTAGCCTTGGTAAATGACTTCAGTAAGGTTTCAGGATACAAAATCAATGTATAAAAATCAGTATCATTTCTATACACCAATAGCATTCGAGCTGAGAACCAAATCAAGAACTCAATTTCACTTACAATAGCCACACACACACACACACACACAAACATACACAAGCACACTATCTAGGAATATGTTTAGCCAAGGAGGTGAAAGATCTTTACAAGAACTACAAAGCACTGCTGAAAGAAACCATAGAAGACAAACAAAAGAAAAAAACATCCCATGCTCATGGATTGGAAGAATCAATATTGTTAAAATGACTATACTGCCCCAAAGCAATCTACAGATTTAATGCAATTCCTATCAAATTGCTAATGTCATTTTTCACACAATAAGAAAAAAAAATTCTAAATTTCATATGGAACCAAAAAAGAGCTCGAAGAGCCAAAGTAATCCTAAGCACAAGGAACGAAGCAAGGAGCATCACATTATCTGATTTCAAATTATACTGTAAGGCTATAATAACCAAAACAGCATGGTATTGGTATAAAAATAGACACACAGATCAATAGAACAGGATTCAGAAATAAAGCCACACACAACCAAGAGATCTGTGACAAAATCAACATAAATAAACAATGGGAAAAGGACATCCTATTCAATAAATGGTGTTGAGAAAATTGGAGAGCCATATGCCTAAAAAAACTGGACTCATACCTCTCACTATATACAAAAATTATCACAAGATAGATTAAAAACTTGAATGTAAGACCTGAAACTATTAAAAAAACATGAAATATCCTAGGAAAAATTCTTCTGAACATTGGTCTAGGGAAAGAATTTATGATGAAAACCTCAAAGAAAATGCAACAAACCCAAAAATAGACAAATAACATGCAATTAAACTAAAAAGTTTCTGCACACCAAAAGAAATAAACAACAGAATAAACAGACAACCTACAGAATGGAAGAAAATATTTGCAAATTATGCATCTGACAAAGGACTAACGTCCAGAATCTACAAAGAACTCAAAGAACAACTTCATTAAACAACAACAACAACAAAAAAATTAAAAAGTGGGCAAAGGACATGAACAGACATTTATCAAAAGTCATACAAGTGGCCAATAAACATATAAAAATGTGCTCAACATCAGTATTCATCAGAGAAATGCAAATTGAAGCCTCAATGAGATGATCAAAATCAATGATGATCATCTTATACAAGTCAGAATGGCTATTACTAAAAAGTCAAAAACATCAGATATTGGTAAGGATGCGGAGAAAAGGGAATGCTTATATAACATTGGTGGGAAATTAAATTAGTACAACTTCTATGGAAAACAATACGGAGACCTCTCAAAGATGTAAAACTACCATTCGATCCAGCCATCCCACTACTGTGTATCTACCCAACACTCATATGTTGATCACAGCACTATTTGCAATAGCAAAGTCATGGAGTCAACCTAAGTGTGTATCAACAGATGACTAGGAAAAGAAGATGTTTGTGTCTCTGTGTTTGTGTGTGTGTCTGTGTGTGTATATATTATATATATGTGTGTATATATGTAATATGTAATATATACTACATAACATACATGTAATATATGTTATGTAATATATTACATAAAATAGATATTACATATATATGAAATATATAAAATACGTAATATATAATTACACATATAAATATATAATATACATATATTACATATATATTTATATATGTTTAAATATTACATTTTTATACATAAAATATATATGTATAGATATAAAAATATATATAAAATAGATATAAATATATATGTATAAAATATATATTACATATATAAAATATATATTACATATATAAAATGATGAAATACTATGTAGCCATAAAAAAGGATTAAATAATGTATTTTGCAACATGGATTGAGCTGGAGGCCATTATCCTAAGACAAATAACTCAGAAATAGAAAATCAAATACTTCATGTTCTTACTTATAAGTGAGAGTTCAACAATAGACACACATGAACATATAGATGGAAATTATAGATACCGGGGACTCCAAAGTGGGGTGGGTCAGAGCGGGTGAAGGTTGAAAAATTACTGTTGGATACAATGATCACTATTCGGGTGATGGGTGCCCTAGTAGCCCAAATTTCACCATTACATAAATATATCCAGGTAACAAGCCTGCACATGTACCCTCTGAATCTAAAATAAAAATAATAAAAATTAAAGATGTTGCTCTTCAGTATATACAACCTGAAGCTTCAAAACCAAAGCATGCTACCATAATTATTAATTTTAAAACAGTAATATCAATACCACAACAATTTAAACAACACAAACAAAACCCAGAACCCCTCAACGTAGACTGTAAATTTCGGCGCGAAGTGGTGATAAGGTGAATTCAATCCCGCCCGTTTAGATTGTCCTCAGTGCTGGGGGCTTCTGCAGGCTGGGAGTGGGCCAGGAAGCAGAACATAGGATTTCAACTCCAGTTTAAGCAGCAGTGGAAACCCCGCACCATGCCCTTCCTTAGTCTAAAATAAACCACAGTCCACAGCAGCAAATGGAAAAGAAGAATAGCTAAAAACAGGAGTGTCCTTAAGACTTCTCTCCAAGGCCTACAATTCACATATCATTTTATGTACGTTATTCTAACCTCAGATAACTTCACTCAACATAAGCAAATGGAAGTATATTAAAAGACAAATCATCCAGATGATAAGTAGATTTAAATCACACTGTATATAGGAAGCTTAAAGAAACTGGAATACATGGCCAGGCGCAGTGGCTCACGCCTGTAATCCCAGCACTTTAGGAGGCCAAGGCGGGTGGATCATGATGTCAGGAGATCGAGAGCATCCTGGCTAACACGGTGAAACCCCATCTCCACTACAAATACAAAAAAAAAAAAAAAATTAGCCGGGCGTGGTGGCGGCGCCTGTAGTCCCAGCTACTCGAGAGGCTGAGGCAGGAGAATGGCGTGAACCCGGGAGGCGGAGCTTGCAGTGAGCCGAGATGGCGCCACTGCACTCCAGCCTGGGCGACAGAGCCGGACTCTGTCTCGAAAAAATAGAAACTGGAATACATGGCAAGAGAAAAGCATAGGCTGAAGGTAGAGATACAGTAACGTCTTCAAATAATCTGCTCTTTCTACCCATCAAAGACAGGTATGTAATGAACTTCAACCTTGTGCTCTAGTGCTTACTTGTGAAAAATACGTATACATGCAAATAAATTCCTTTAGAGTTTAGTACTGAAGTAGAGTTTGGCAAACTAACATTATGTAAGGGAGTCGGGAAGGAAGGTGTCAGAAGAGAGGATGAGTAGAAGTTTGTTATGGAGAAGGGTTACAAGATTCTAGGATGAGCAATCTAATTTCATATTACAAGGCCAGGTGCAGTGGCTATGCCTGTAATTCTAGCACTTTGGGAGGCCAAGGCAGGCAGATTACCTGAAGTCAGGAGTTCGAGAGCAGCCTGGCCAACATGGTGAGACCCCATCTCTACTAAAAATATAAAAATTAACTGGGTTTGGTGGTGGGCACCAGTAATCCTAGCTACTTGGGAGGCTGAGGCATGAGAATTGCTTGAACCCAGGAGGTGGAGGTTGCAGTGAGCCAAGACTGCGCCATAGCACTCCAGCCTGGGCAACAAGAGTGAAACTCCATCTCAAAAGTAGTAATAATGATAATAATTTCAAATTACTAGAGATTTGAAGAAGCAGAGTGATATCATTTGGCTATGTCCCCACCCAAATGTCATTTTGAACTGTAGCTCCCAAAATTCCAAGTGTTATAGGAGGCACCCGGTAGGAGATCGCTGAATCATGGGGGTGGTTCCCCTATACTGTTCTTGTGGAAGTGAATAAGTCTCATGAGATCTGATGGTTTTATAAGGGGTTTCTCTTTTCACTTAGCTCTCATTCCCTCTTTCCCTGCCACCATGTCAGACATGCTTTTCGCCTTCCATCAGGATTGTGAGGCCTCCCCAGCCACATAGAACTATAAGTCCATTAAGCCTCTTTTTCTTTATAAATTACCCAGTCTCAGGTACGTTTTTACCAGCAGTGTGAAAACAGACTAATACACAGAGCATGCATTAGGGATAATGTGTAGTGCAGTTTGGCTGGCATTCAGGGTGTCTGGAGCAGAGGGAGAACTGGGGAACAAGACTGGACTTGGACCAGACTGTGAGAGTTTTTACACTCCATATAAAGACATTAGACATCATGCTGCAAAAATTGAGAACATTTTAGAGGTTGCTTGAATTTATTTAATAAAATAAATAATCTCATGAAGCTGGAGTTCAATGGAGAGAGGAAAAAACTACACTTATTCCTGCTGCTTCTCAAATGAATGGTATTTTAAAGGAATATCAACTTACTTAGCAGCTAAGACAAGGATCTATTCAATTTAACGAGGTGTTATCATGATCTATACAAGTTGTTCTTTCGTGAAACTACTTACATTTCTGTTTTAAAAACTTAAATTCTACGTTCAATAACGTTACCCAAAGTGTAATGAGCTGGTAGAGATACAAGATTTTCTACAAATCCATTCTGAAGCTGACTTCCGAAAAATCAGGTATAAAAAGCGGCTCTAGTTTTGTCTCTGGTGGGGGCTTCCTAGGGGGAAGAGAAGAGTCATGGACTAAAAATGACTTACGAATCCCTACAGAGTAAATCCAGAGTGGAGGCTGCCACCACAGTCGTCCTAATGGCAAATGAATCAACACAACTTATTTCGCACATGAGGCTATGCTAGCAGGAAAAGATTCCTGGACTCTGACTAGATTCAAAGAGACAGCTTACCAGAGGCTTAAGGGCTGAAAGAAGCAGAAACAATGTATAATACACACATCTGAGCCATGGCATTTACAGGAACAGCCTGTGGAACACCTGTGTGACAATCATTAGTAACAAATGAGGTCATTTGTCTAAAATGCAGATGCCCTAAGAGATTCTACTACCCTAGGTCTATTGTGTGGCCTGGTGGGTGGCGATGTACATACAGCCAGGGCTAAGAGTCATTGCTCAAATAGCAATGTCCAATAGAAATATAATGGGAGCCACAGAGGTAAGCCACATGTGTAATTTTAAATTTTCTAGTAGCCACATTTAATAAAAGGATAAAGTAACCAGCGACTTAATTTTCGTATCTATTTTACCCAATATCCAAAGTATTATTATTGTAACATGCAAGCAATATGAAAGTTTGTAATGAGATATCCTGCATCCTTTTTTGTCATACAAAGCCTTTTACAAACTATGTACATACAAATACATACTGAGTATTTCACAATGGAAGCTCATCTCAATCTGGAATGCTGTGTTTCAAGGGTTCATAGGCACCTGTGGCCAGTACTCATGAACTAGACAGAATAGATATAGAAAGAAGAGACATGACTCATGACTTTTTGCTTTCATTGAAACTATTGCGAATTCTAAATCAACCTTAGGTTTGAGTCACCATGTTATGTTGCGTATTGTGTTTTCATTCTTCTTTTTAATTTTTTTTTAAGTGATAAGGTATCACTCTGTTGCCCAGGCTGGAGTGCAGTGGCACAATCATAGCTCACTGCAGCCTCAGAATCCTAGGCTCAAGCTATTCTTCCATCTCAGCCTCCTGAATAGCTGGGACTATAGGAGCACGCCACGAAACCCAACTCATTTTTTAATTTAAAAATATTTTTTAGAGACAGTGGTCTTACCATAATATCCAGGCTGGTCTGGAACTCATGGCCTCCTGGAATCCTCCTGCCTCAGCCTCCAAGTAGCTAGGATTACAGGTATGAGCCATTGTAACAAGCTAGTCTTGTCTCTTAACTCCATGGCCTGAAACCTCATATCCCTCATCTCTACTACTTTTGCCTAGCAAATACCTATCCATACATAAATCTCAGCTCAAATAATCCTTGCTCGGGAAAATCTTGATTGTCCTGGCCCTTCTGTCTCCTCCAGCAATATCATCAAAAACAAGAGGAATATAGCAAACATGTAAACAAAACCCAGGGGACCTGGTTTGTTTCCTTGTCATATGTGCTCGGCATATTGTGTCTCTCATAGCACTATTGCAGTCGGTTGCACATGTATTTATGTGATGATGATTCTAAGTCACTCCTTCTCCTTGATAGAAGGTGCTGTGTCTGTATGTTACAGGGTCTGGATTGCATTATATATCCAACATGGTTATGTTGAGTGGGTGAACACTTTCTCAGCTCCTGAACTGAGCCTTCCCTCTGCTGAAATAGCTTGAGAGAATCTTTGTTTTTTGCAATTAGAAAAGCCTAAATAAAACATTTTCTTAACCTAAAAGTTACCCTAGATACATAAAAAGAAGAAATAAAAGTGCATTTTGAAATATCTTATGGTCATATACACACACAAAATAAGTCTTTATCAATCCTCAAGGACCAAACAGAGGAGAATTTACTGCAAGGTGAATTAAGCTTTAGATTCAGGACCCGTGAGTTCTAGGAGTTCTCGTCTAAGGAAGGGAAGCCAGGTTACACTCAGGAAGCATTTCATCATAACATTGTAAGTATTTCTAGTAAAGCACTTGACATCTTAAAAAATTAGAGACTCGAGCATCCAAGGCTCCAAATATTTGTTATGGGTTTTTTCATTAAATAAAGACTCCATTTAGTACTTTATTTGTAGTTTTGTATCAAGAGGTCCCCTACCTCCAATTTGTATAAAGCTTTCAGCTACACAAAACCTGGATGCATCCATGCTGAGAAAATAAAATCTTTCATTTTCGATTCTTCTGTGTAATAGGAAAACAAAATCTCAATCCTTCTCCAAAAATTTGGACTGTATAGTTTAAATCTCTTATGACATTAAAAACTCAGTGTATCTGAAATCAAACTTGCTCTCCTTCTGACATCCCTAATGCTATCTCCATTATTTTTTTTATTATCATTATAATGCTGTCAGTTCTAGGATACATGTGCAGAACATGCAGCTTTGTTACATAGGTATACATGTGCCATGGTGGTTTGCTGCAGCCATCAATCTGTCATCTACATTAGGTATTTCTCCTTACGCGATCCCTCCCCTACCCCACACCCTGCAACAGGCCCCGGTGTATGATGTTCCCCTCCCTGTGTCCATGTGTTCTCATTATTCAACTCCCACTTATGCGTGAGAACACGTGGTGTTTCCTTCCTGTGTTAGTTTGCTGAAAATGATGGTTTCCAGCTTCATCCATGTTCCTGCAAAGGACATGAACTCATCCTTTTTCATGGCTGCATAGAGTTTAGAAGTCAGTGCAGCAAGATATAAATTTGGTCATTATCTGTATGTATATTTAAAAACATTGAAGTGAATGAGTGTCGAATGAGTGTCAAAAAAGAGGATGTACATACATTTAAATTTTTAGATAGTAGACATTTAATAAATGTCTACAAATGGTAGATTCATTCTAATCTCATAGCATTAAACACCATTTATAAAAATTCAAAAAATATTTGGACTGTAATGCTTATATATTTACCTTTCTTATTAAGGTGAATGGGTCAGCACAAAGTAGGTTACAAGCAGGTCAAGGGTGCCAGATTTCAGGGAAAAGTGAAAGACCATGTGTGTGGGAGGAACCTTCCACTGCTTCTCACCACAACCACAAACACCATTCTGTGAAGACCAGAAATGTCACAGGGACTACTCCAGACTTCCCTTGGGTACCTTGTACTCTACTTCATGAGGTTAATCTCAATAGTTAGAACTGAGGATTGTCAGGGTAGGAAAATGAAGAGCTGAAAGTCACTGATCCTCTCTTCAAGATTTTTATAATCGAAAACACACTCAACACATATCAGTTTTATGAGAGTACTATGAAAATTAAGTACAAATTTTATGGCAATTATTTATCCAGACATTTATTTATTCAACAAACAAGTGAATCCCAATTCTATGCTAACAGTGCTAGGGGTCTGATGGGATGCAAACTGATCTTATTCCTGCCCTCACCAAGTCCATAGTTGCGTGGATAGCAGCACTATTATAGGAATTCAGAAAAAAAAAAATGTGTTAACCTTGGTTGGCATAATAGGAAAAGCTTAATAGTGAGGGTAAATTTTGAAACAGAACATCAGAGAGAGGAAGGATGCGTACCAAAAACATGAAAGGAAACAAGATTCTAGGAGAGGACATCACCATCAAAGTTAAATTAATTAATCTTATTCACTCCTCAATCGTTGAGTATCACTCATTGCCATTCAACCACTGGACATTATTAATACTGTTTTCCATTACTTTCACTGTTGTCTTTTGAATTTCCATGCTTTTCATTACTCTGTTTGAAATTTTTTAAGTATTACAGGGCTATGCAATGCAGATAGATGTAAAAAGAATCAATGGATGTAACCTAAAGGAATATGGATACAGCAATACCAAAAGCATTTAATTTGGACTATCATATGACATACATTTATTCTAAATGACTTTTTGTGTTCACCCTTTGTCTCTTCTCTTGTCCTGATAATCAGAAATCTTGGATTAAGCTAAGCAAGAAAGCCAAGAGGCCATAGAAAATCCCCTATTGAAAATGAAGCTTGAGTGTAGATGGGTTTGATATGTAGCCTTCCATGCCCCTTACTGTTAAGTAGCTTTAATTTTGACATTATCTCTTCTTTTTGCCATTTAATCATAACACTATCCTAGATTGCTAAACAGTTTCTTATAGAGAAAATGAAATAAGTATTCTATAACCCTTACAGACTTAAAATGGGAACACAAAACATGCTAAGAAACAGATAAGTTGGAAACTTAAATAAAGCACCAAGGTCAGAAACTGAATTTTACTTATGATAAATGACTTAATAAAAGAGATTAAAAGAACACAACTGGTTATAACTACTCCCACAACCCCAGTTCTGCCATAAAAATAATGATTAAATCCAACAATAGGCTCAAAATCTCATTTTATTCACTGCAATAATAGATAGGGTTTTAAAATCATTTTTTATGGAAGCACAAATTTCTCAGTGAACAGAATGCTGCAGTTTTCTTAGGCTGCAGAAATACCTTATCATGACTTTGTTCTTCATAGTAATAGTCTCAGACCATCCAGATACTCAGAGCACCAGAAGCATGGAGATAAATTATGCTGTGAAAGATCCCAATGCTGGTCCACCTGCCAAGATCCCTGAGGCTGATACACCACAAAGGGAGATAGGGGCTGCCTCTACAACTTTTTGCAAATTAAAAACTTAAAAAGATGTGGTCTCAATGGCTGTATGACTTGGTACATTTAAAATATCTTTGTGCTATGTTTTTCAGCTCCATCCGGTCTTTTATGTTTCTCTCTCAACTGGTTATTCTAGTTAGCAGCTCCTGTAGCCTTTTATCGTGGTCCTTAGCTTTTTGGTATTGGGTTAGAACATGCTTCTTTAGCTCAACAGTTATTACTCACCTTCTGAAGCCTACATCTGTTAATTCATCCATCTCATCATCCACCCAGTTCTGTGTCCTTGCTGGAGAGGTATTGTGATTGTTTGGAGAAGAGGCACTCTGGCCTTTTGAGTGTTCAGCATTTTTTTGGTTGATTCTTTCTCATCTTCATGAGTTTGTCTGGTTCAGATCTTTGAGGTTGCTGACCTTTGGATGAGGTTTTTGTGGGGACTTTTTTGTTGATGCTGTTGTTTTGTTTTTCTTTCAATAGTCAGGTCCCTCCTCTGTAGGGGTGCTGTGGTTTGCTGGGGGTTCACTTCAGACTATTCACCTGGGTCCCTCCCACACTTGGAGATGTCACCTAAGGAGGCAAAGATGGCTTCCTGCTCCTTCCTCTGGGATCTCTGTCCTCAAGGGGCACCGACCGGATGCCAGTAGGAATGCTCCTGGATAAGGTGTCTGGTGACCTCTGTTGGGAAGTCTCACCCAGTCAGGGCGGCACGGGATCCAGGACCCATTTAACAAAGCACTTTGACTGTCCTTTGGTGGAGGGAGTGTGCTGTGCTCGGGGGAAACCCACTCGTCTGAGCTGTCCGGATTCCTCAGAGCTAGCAGGAGAAGAGACTAAATCTACTGATCCACGGAGATCACAGCTGCCCCTCCCACTAGGGGCTCAGGCCCAGGAAGATCAGAGTTTGGTCCCTAAGCCCCTGGCTGGAGTTGCTGGAGTTCCTGCAGGGAGGGCCCACTCAGTGAGGAGGGATGGGTCAGAGTCTGTCCTAAAGAGGCAGTTGGGCCACGATCTTCCACAGCTGGTGTGCTGAAATGTAGGAACTACCTCTTGGGACCAAGCCATCCAGTCTCCCCAGCACCAGCAGAGGAAAAAATGGTGGCCTGGAGCTACAGTGATGGCTGCTGCCCCATGGCACACGTTTATCTGTGTAACAAACCTGCACGTCCTGCACATGTATCCGAGAACTTAAAATACAATAAAATTAAAAAAAATCTTTGTGCATATAAAGAAGTAGTGATCCATCTTCTGGGTACCCACAGCCCTGCTTGTCAGGAGCTAGAATTTAACTCTCACTCCTCCCTTACCTGGGAGTCCTTCTGAAGTACAACCTGAGCAACGCTAAGGGTGACCTGGGTCTCAGGTGCCTAAGAGATGGAGCCCTTTCTACAAATCAAGACTTGCCTTCTCAAGAGTCTACCTATTGAACTTCGCAGAAGGCTTAATATGTAAATAACCTTCCTCCTCATGTAGGATTTGAAACCTCTGTCTGGAAAATGCAGCTTGACCTCAATTTCCTGGACCTCAGTATGTCCTTTTGAGCTTCACCTCAAATAGTTCATAGCTGTTTAGGAAAACAGTAAATTAAGCAGGGGAACACTGTTAACATTTGTAGCTCATTTAAAGTTTTCACTGATGCTATCACCTGTCTTGCTGCATCCTCCATTGCTTGAAATCTTGTGTGACCTTGGTGTTATTGTGGCTGCTGGTATAAAGGTTCTTAACAGCTGTAGGGTTCTGATGCAGCTGCTCCAGGCTGGCCCCGTCAGGCATCTCCTCGGCCTGAGGCTGGGAGATGGCTTGACGAGGCTAGCCTGGAGCAGCTCCATCAGAGGGTTTGATATGCCCTAGTGGGCACAGGCCCGCAGGGACCAGTAAGTGGCTGCTGCTCCTCCTGCAGCTCAGATACTCCATTTCAGACTATTCACAACCCCTCACTTCCTGAAATTTTATCCCACTTCCCCTTAGACTCTTACCTTGTTCTACCATTCTACGTATCTCTTTCACAGAGGAGGGTCTAAAAACACATTGACACTAAGTATTTGCATTTTGAAAGATGTTTAAAAATACTTCCCACAATAAATAAATATCTAACTGTAAAATTCCATGCTTCTCTGGGGAAATGGTTTTGGATTGCTGTCCTCTCTTGAGAGACTCATATCACAACATTAAACCAAGAGTTGATTTCAGGCTCTGCATAATTGTATCTTTCTTTGAGTAATCATTTTTCATGCGTTCACTTCATTTGCTTCTATTTTCCTTGCCTTTGTCTGACCTTTTCAAAACAGTAAGTTTACCCCATATCTGTTTGTCACTGTCATATAAATAGCAGTCAAATAAAGCAAACACATTGCTTACATCTATAGAGCTTCCTAGGTTGGAATGCTAAGGCCTCCACTGACTGCTAGGAAAATGCAAGACAGTCCTCTGAATCCTGAGCACCTCATGCCAAATGCGATGTCCCCATAGACTCAAACACACATGCATGCTCTTTCCCCTATACGTCTTGCTTTGCAAATTACTCTTCAATTCATTCAAAATGATTCCCGGAAGAGTGAACTGATTTTTAATTATTTAGGGAGATGGAGAAATGAGACAGAGGTCCCATTTAAATATCAAGGTATCCATCCATATGTATGCATCAGAGCTGAATCAATTTCTACATATGATTTCTATACTATAGGACCACGTGACCCCTCAGTCTGCTTCACTCCTTCCGGGTAGAGAACACAGTATGTAAGAGATAAAAGACACTGAAATCATATACTGTAACCTCACTCTAATACCATTTAATATTATGTATAAGTCAAATTATCTCAGGCAGATCTTTGATCTGGTCCAAAAGGAGATGACAAATCAATACTGAGATGTTCGTGTTGTTTTGTTTATGTTTTCAAGGAAGAACAATGTTTACTTCTACCAGGAGTTAAAAATAGGTAACTTTTTAAATTTAAAATATCACCTTTTAGAAGACCTTGCAGACTCCCAGATAATCCCTATAGTCAGAAGTGACTTTTTTTTTTTAATTTTTATTTTTCTCCCAGGCAGGGTCTCCCTCTGTCACCCAGGCTGGAGGACAGCGGCATGATCACAGCTCACTGCAACCTCTGCTTCCCGGGCTGAAGCTATCCTCCCACTTCAGCCTTCAGGGTAGAGTAGCTGGGACCACAGGCATGTATCACCACACTACCATGCCTGGCTAACCTTTTGCACTTTTTGTAGAGATGAGGTTTTGCCATATTGCCCAGGCTGGTCTTAAACTCCTGGGCCAAAGCAATCCACCTGCCTCAGTTTCCCAAAGTGCTGGGATTGGAGGCAAGCACCACCACCTTTGGCCAACTAAGTCTTGTTCCCATGTTCAGTTAATTGCCTATGTTTGTTACTCTGTAGACAGTGTCTACAGCAAGTTACTATCTGTATTAGTTTTCTGGGGCTGTCATAGCAAAATACACAGACTGGGTGCTTAAGCAATAGATATTTATTTCCCCATAACTCTGGAGGCTGGAAGTCCAAGACCAAGTTGTCAGTACATTTGGGTTCTTCTGAGTCGTCTTTCCTTGTACTTGGGTACCTTCTCCCTGTGTCTTTTTTTGAGACGGAGTCTCGCTCTGTCTGTCGCCCAGGCTGGAGTGCAGTGGCGCGATCTCGGCTCACTGCAAGCTCCGCCTCCCGGGTTCATGCCATTCTCCTGCCTCAGCCTCCTGAGTAGCTGGGACTACAGGCGCTCGCCACCACGCCCAGCTAATTTTTTTTGTATTTTTAGTGGAGACGGGGTTTCACCGTGTTAGCCAGGATGGTCTCGATCTCCTGAACCCGTGATCCGCCCACCTCGGCCTCCCAAAGTGCTGAGATTACAGGCGTGAGCCACCGCGCCAGGCCCGGCCTCCCTGCGTCCTTTCATACCCCTCCCTCTGTGTGTGTCTGTGTCCTAATCTCCTCTTAAGGATGCCAGTGAGACCGAACTAGAGAACACCGTAACAACCCTGTTTTAGATACTTATTTAAAGCCTCTGTCTCCAAATACAGTCACATTCTAGGGTACCAGGGGTTAAGACTTCAACATATGATTTGTGGGGGAACACAGTTCAGCCCGTAACACACCCTATGTATTTAGTTCTCTTTCAATGCTTGAGCTTTAGCATTCTGTCTTTCCGCATTCAAGTAAAATCATTGCAGGTTTTTTAAACGTTTCAAAGTGTGTTGTAAAATCCTTCAGTATGTTCCACATTCACTTCCACTGCCCTTCTTGAACTTTTGTCTTACACTTCCTCTTTGAATTGTGGTCCTAAGAACAACAGTCTACATTTTATAACAAAAGATTATCATCCATTCTTTGTAACTTTTGCTTGCCTCCTAACACAGTGCCTGGCTCACGGTAAGCACCCAAAAATCTTTAGATGAATATAATGAGAAATTTTATCATTATACATGGTTATAATAAGTGTTATAATCCTGACTTATGTCTAGCTTATAGTTAATTATGATTCTTAATTATCTTCTGCTTTGTCAGCAAATAACCAGTTTTACTTGAACAGATGCTTGCCTATCTAATGATCCATCAAAATCTTTCAGAATAATTGTTCAGATTACAAAATTCTAAGTAACAAAGATCTCCAAACTTGAAGTTTTAAAACAGTTGGCTGTCATAATACCCTTCATTTTTAGCATTGTCTTCTGCTAACCATTTGTATCACTGAATATTCATGGATTTTTTATTTTTTTCCCCAGTGAAAGTAACCTGACAACGCCATTCAAATAATATTTGTGTTAAAAGGTCACTTCTCTGACCTACAGATCAAAAACTTGCAATAGGTGAGTTGTTCTTCATGGTAGGTTTTTTTTTTTTTAAAGTATCCCTTACCACTTGACAAGAACAAGTACCGAGAGGTTTTCTCTCTAGAGCTTCCAAATATTGGTACCAGCACTGGCTGAACAACATAGAATTGTATGTGGAGCTATTTAGAAATGCAACAACCTAGAACTATCTTAGACCTTCTGATCAGAATCTCTGGGGGTAGAGGGTGTGTTTTCAGAAGGTGAACTGGTAATTTTTATGCATAATCAAGCTGAGAAATTTGCTTAGTAAGGAAGTAGTCCCAAAATGTAGCTGCACATTGGAATCACCCAAGGAACCTTTAACCTGGCGGTGCCTGGATTTCAATCCACTGCCAGAGTAACAGGAATTTAAACATTTCTCATGTGATTTAATGGGTGACCAAAAGGATACATTGCTGATAAATTAGAAGGGCATTACTAGCTATATTTTTAATAAATCATTCAAAAGCTAGAAGCATAATATTAGGATGAACCCCGAATAACATGTTTATTACAAGTGGTTCAGTATGAATTGCCAGAGACTGTAAAATGTGGACAGAGATGTGTCTGGTTGTGCCTCGGATTTTGCCAGAGACTACAGTTTTTAAAACTTAGCTGCAATGGAATTCTCTGGAAAACATATTATAACGCTGATTGTTGGAGCTTCTAATTCAGTTGTTCTGGAGTGAGTGCCAAGTATTTACCTTTTGGCAAGTTGTAAAGTAATACTGATGCAGCTGGTCCAGGAACCACATTTTGAGAATCACTATCATTGAATTTCCGCGTCCATAAAGAGCCAATATCCTTTCACACAGGTGAGTCCATTGGTTACACCTCTCAACTAAATAATTAGGAGACCACAACTCAAGGCATACGCACCTGCTTTCAAAGAACATTGTACAATATGAGAACTACAAGGTCTTCTCACAGAATTCCATATTCCCTACAAAATCACGGAGGAAAAAAATTATACAGGTTCTGTGGTATCACTATTAATTTTCATATTCTCTGAAATATTATAGTGTGGATAGTACACATTTAATTTCCATTTGTCATCTCATGCATACTATAATATTTTCAGACTTTTCCTGTCCTCTAATGAATGCTTGGAATTAATTTCAAACCCTTGAAGATAATCTACAAGGCTTTTTAAAAAAATTTTTCCCCATAATATTAAAAGTGCTTTTGAATCTTTGACTCAGAGGTATAGGCTTGCATTTTATATTATGGACTTTTACATGAAATGTATCTTAGAGACCTGAAACAAAAATATTTTTGCCTTTACTTATTAAAGCCCCACCTGAACCATGCTAAAGAATCCCTCTTAAGTCCTCTTTCACAATAATTAGGTATTATTTTCTCAGATCTATGTGAACAAACTTCACGTTAAGTTGCAAACTAGGAAGCCATGAATAGTAAAGCTTTTGTTAGATATGGCTCACTACCGTTCCTCATCTTCAAGGTTTAGTTTGCCTTCGTCCTTGATCTCTTCCATAGTTTCCGCGGAAAAACATTTTCTGTTCGGAAATCCACTTTACTTTCCAAAACCATTTGACTTGCCAGTCGTCTCCAACAAGACTGACCCAATGACCAATCTATCCTTTTGTGGGGAGGGAGGGATAGTGGAAAATGTACTCAGTTACAGCTATAAGCACTAAACACTCTCAGAATTTTATTCAGATTTAGGGAGATAACCTATATAACCTAGAATTTATGTTATCAATCTTTTTCCAAAAACCTAATTGAATAGTTTGGATAATATAAAGAATACAGCATTCTCTACTTCTCTAGGTGTTTTAAATTTGACCCTCGCATTGATTTGTCATAAACCTCAGGAAGTCTACTCCTTTGAACAAAACAGCCTCAACCTTTGAGATTCACTTTTAAGACGATGCTCTTGTCTTTCACTGAAACCTTTTTAAGAACAAAGAAACACACACATGCAAATGATATAAACACTGCTTTGTATTTGCCATAAATGTCCTCCATATACAGTTGTTCAGCAGAAAATTACGTTTGAATTTCACCCTGTGTAAACATTGTCTTCTCTGAAGAATTCATATATCTTAAAAATATTGTTTATTTAATATTTTTCTTTTAGAAAACTCAGATCTTATTTTTCTCCCTTTTTCTTGATGTCATTGTCATATAAAGTAATATTTTTCCTATTTATACATTATCGAGGTATTTTAAGGAAACAGAAGACCCATTAATATTAACAGATGACAGATGTATTGGTAATACATTCCAGAGCTTTGATAGCAGAATTGGAGGAAAAGTAAAAAGAGAAAACAAATGTACTGAGGAAAATGTCTCATGATTTTATACATTTTAACCTTATGTCATCCTCAAAACTATTCTGACAGTTAGATATAATGATCTTTCAACTGATACCCAGAGAAGTTAAGTGAATATGCCTACAGCCAGGTACCTGATAAACTAGAGAGAACAGACTTAAATACATGTCTTCTGACCACAACATGCTACAACCCATAACGCACACTGGAAGGAAGCTATTACAAGATGCTGACTTAAAATATAGTTATGTGACTTGTACCTGTAGACTTCCATATGAAACCATCCCATACTTCCATCTGCTTTATTCATATAGGATGGCTGTGCCTCTGCTTTCACTCTGAAGCTTTAGAATTTGATAAAGAAACATATGACTCATCCAGGAAAAAACAATCCAGATTGAGAAAAGGGAATGTGGGAACATGCATTGGTGTTGGGAGGACTAAACTGCTATGCTTTTTCACTGGAATTATTGAAGACAGCATGGGTTAGTCTAGAGCACTAGACGTGGAATTCATGTTCACAACTGTTACCAAGAACTGCAAGTTTAGGAGGTCACTTAACTCTCCAGGCCTCAGTTTCCGCATCAACAAAACAGAGTTTACATTGGATCATCTCGATGTTCATTTGCACCCCTGATCTTCGACTCTTTTTCACCTATAAGCTGATTATTATAGTTTATAGCTGGATTTAGAGGGTATCATACAGTTATAGGTGAGTTCATTCAGGGGACTGGACATTTCTTCAAGTACGGGAGAACAGTTAGGGGGTGCTGCAATCATACGTGCTTGTGCTGTAAATAAGCAAAAAAAAATGTGAAGGAAAAAATCTAAGGACTTCTGATATGGCTACATAGAGCATTAATGGAGATAGTCCAGTTAATATATATTTATTGTTATATAGTTTCAAGTTGCTAGAAGGAAGATATTGAATGCTCCTAATGCAAAGAAATAATAAATGTTTCAGATGCTGGATATGCTAATTACTCTGATCTGATCACCAAACATTATATGTGTTGAAATATCACCATGTACTCTATGAATATGTACCACTATGCATCAATTAAAAAATAATTTAAAAATAAAATAAAAAAACAAATTCACTTAATAACCAATTTCATTTTTACTCAAGACTGTTCCATGATGATTGAGTGATTTCACCAACAGGGTTGCATTTCCTGTGGTTTCTTGCCATCTATTACTTTGAACGTCTCTGTCTCTATATTGTTTTTATTTGTACTTATTTACTTCTTTAGCAAACCATCATCATCCTTGTATGTCACCCATCTAAACACTAAGATGTTGAACTTGGTGCTCCCATTTGCACTCATTTTAATCAAACAAATATTTGCACTCATTATGTACTTAAGACTTTGTTCAATACTGAAACGATGCAATCTGTTCTGTTGCCTCTCTCCATCTGCCTCTGAACCTCCACTATCGATCTAGTCACTCAACCTATTACATTTTCCCAAGTTCCATATTTTTCATGAAGCCTGGATTCTATAGTGAGTCATCTCACTTAAAGTTTTCATTATCACCCTCCATGTGAAAAGATCCTTAACTTCCTTCACACAGAGGGTCCCTTATTCATGCTCATGCTGATCTGTGGACTCCCAATTTCCTAGCGTCATTTTAAAAAATAAATTGTACTTGAATTGGAGAAATACCAGTAAATTATGAATGCCTGATGGCGGTACCGTAGTTTTGGAGTTCCATACATGTGGTAAGTATTGTAACTTGGTGTGTTTTGTGCCTAAGGAATGTTTATGAGAGGAATACCCCTTGTTAGAAGGAGGCTATTATGGCAGAAGGTCCTGCACACACCCACTGTGCATTTCGTCTCCTTGCACCTGAGCTGTTACCTGGAGCCCCAAAGGAGTGCTCCTAGGTTATCTGATTAGATTGCTGAGTGGGCCGCTGCAAGGATTCCCTTTGAAAGGAATTACTCGATGTTGCCCTGCTTGGCAGACTTGCTTCCTGTTCAACAGACTTCTGTGTAAGCTGATTCTGAATGTGATCAATAATTGCCTTCTAAACCTCAATGTTTCACTGGACCTCAAGAGACTGCCTGATGGGCATTGCCCTAGCTCACTTCTACAATTAGCCATTTACTTCCTCTTAAAACAACTCCATCTCTCTACTAAAACTGAATTCTCAAAAGCCACCAATGAGACTTTTTCCCCCAAACCAAAGCCTTTTCATTCTCTTGATGCCCAAGCGTTTTGTCAAAAACCTATCAGCATCCCTTCTTTCATAAAATTCTCTCACTTAGTCCACGTGTTTCTTTTTTCTCCTAATACCTATTATTATTCCTTTGTTTCTATGCTTGATTTTTTTTCTCTTTTTCCCCCTTAAGAATTGTAAATTATCAGTAAAATGTCAGTCCTAGTATTTTTTTTTTCCTGGAGCCTTCACTCAACGTCAGTCCTGTGACTCAACTTATTATATCCAAATCTTCCTCCACCCACCACTACATGTTTTCTTTGAATTACGCAGATGACACCAAGTTCAATGCGTCCATTAACTGTCCTGTTCCCCACCACTCCCCTCACACAGACAGGTTCCCTTACCATCTCTTCAGAGGCAACTTCACATGTTAGTCCTCAGGTTTCAAATGTAGATCACATTTGTCATCCTGTTCCCTGCTTCTGTAATTTTATGAAGTATGCCTAGTTTTTCTTTGGGAGCTATTTTCTATTGTTCTACCTCTTTATTCTCTTTAATACCACTTAGTCCAGGCTATCACTCTTGACTCAAGCCTGCTTTCTGGACTCAAGGGGCTTTTTCTATCCTGTATACTCTTGCATACTGCTCCTACATTTAACACCCGCATATTGCTTATCATGCCATTTTTACACCTAGTGACCTATGCTAACATGACAGAAAGCTGTAATGTTAAATGTCCCTAAATGAATACAGAGCCCCCTTCAAGTGTAGCTCTCAACACCCCTTCGGTAGGCTTTTTGAATTTTATAATCTAAAGACAGTGTCCATCTTTCTCTCTCACTCTGGGAATCGAAAGATCTCATTTTCTCCCTCTAGGTCACAAGGCCTTTCTTCCCCACCAACCATAGGGCCTGTCACTTTAGCGTGTTAAGAAAATAAGGTGCAATCTTTGCTGGACTATGACCCAGTCTTCCTCACTTCAATGTGGTTTATATCAGTAACAAAATCTTATTTTAAAACACTAAGTATATCGTCTTAGTTTTCAAAGTCCCATGCCACCCATCATTTTCCTTACTAAAATATGGGCTAGCTGTGGTGGCTTACACCTGTAATCCCAGCACTTCAGGAGGCCAAGGCAGGGGGATTCCTTGAGGTGAGGAGTTCGAGACCAGCCTGGCCAATGTAGTGAAATCCTGTCTCTACTAAAAATACAAAAAAAGTTAGCTGGGCAGGGTGGTGTGCACCTGTAATCTTAGCTATTCTGGTGGCTGAGGAATGAGAATCCCTTGAACCCAGAAAGCAGAGGTTGCAGTGAGCTGGAGATTGCACTACTGTACTCCAGCCTGGGTGACGAAGGCTCAATAAATAAACAAATAAACAAACAAACATAGAAATAAAATATGTACAGAGACCTCTACCTATTATTTATATAAAAACAAAAGGAAGAGTGGTTTTATCGTAAAATGTATTACTTTTATCTCCATTTTTTTTATATGGCATGGTAACTTTACCTCCAGAGGTGCAAAATTATAGAATAAGAGCAAAGTTAAACATAATTGACTTTAAAATACATAGTACCCAATGCGTACAACATATAATATTTGGCCGGGCATGGTGGCTCACACCTGTAATCCCAGCACTTTGGGAGGCCAAGGCGGGCAGATCACTCGAGGTCAGGAGTTCGAGACCAGCCTGGTCAACATGGTGAAACCCTGTCTCTACCAAAAATACAGAAATTAGTCAGCCGTAGTGGCATGCACCTGTAGTCCCATCTAATTGGGAGGCTGAGGTGGGAAGTTTGCTTGAACCCTGGAGGTGGAGGTTGCAGTGAGTTGAGATTCCACTACTGCACTTCAGCCTTGGGGATAGAGCAAGACTGTGTGTGTTTGTGTGTGTGTGTGTATGTAATATTTACCAATACAGCATTGATAGGTGTTGAAAAAGGTAAACAACCAAAAAGGTAAAGTTCACATTACTGCTGCTCTAGACACTTAATATGCCTAAACAAATACATAAATAGAACTCATTTTACTTGGCAGAGGATCATTATCTATGCACACTTTGCTTCTTGCTGCAGGTTTTTTCCCCATCATAATTTTATATCTAAGTTGTTCACATGTGCTGCCAATACATGATTGCAATTATAACTTAGAAATAAAGGCAATTCTACATTTCTTCTCTTTTCTGAGCAAGATAATTGTATTTCTTTGGAATATAAATTGCTACGATTTTTAGAGTAAGAAATTCTTCAAAGAACAATTAAGTCTTTGCTGAAACACGAAATAGAAGATAGTTCTAGAGAAGATTACAGCGTTTCAATTCAGTGCCCCCAATGAGAATTTTAAAAATTGGCTTAACTGTTGCCTAAAGTCATTCCTCAGATTCTAAGATGTCAAGCTGTATGTTTTGAATGAGCTTAAATACATTCACCAACATAAGCAAGCCCGGTCAACTGTAAAGTTATTCGAGTGAATCAAATGTTATTTCCCATATATAACCAAAACTAGGAAAAACCATATGGTTATATTAAACTTTGACACACATTTAACTAAAAGTTTAACACATTTCTCCATTATTTCTTATACAGAAGGAATGAATAGAAAAAAAAAATCAACCAAAAAAGTTTGTTTAAAGTTAACACAAGGGAATCAAAAACTTCTTTAGTTCAAAATGGCTCTCTGATTCAACATTATTGGTTATAGAGAATTTTATTTTTATACTAGTACTTGGTGATACATTTTTCCTATTATTGTCATGCTTTGGAGGTGCTAACTCCTGTAAACTGTGTTTTTGTCATTCTGATGTAATTGTAAATACTGTATTATTGTAAGTGGCATTACGAAAAAACTTATAGAACCTTATAGTCAAGGAAAAGGCGAGCAAGAATGACCTTCTGGTGATCAGAGGGTCTTTCAAATACAATGAAGTTTTCACTGACTCCATGAGAACAGACTGTGTCTTGCACCCTGACTGGTATCTTTCATTTTCACAGACAGGCCCTGTGGAGTTGGGGGTGGAGGGAACTCACCACAGAAATCACATGAATGCCATAAAAATCACTGAATCCCAGAGGTCAGGAATTCAGAGATACTTGAAGACACCCAAGCACTGGGTTGGATTCAAAGAGTCAGAGGAATGAATCCCATTTTTCGCACTTACTGTGGGGCTGGAGGAAGTTACTTACAAAAGAGGGCCCTTGTCACTAAAATAGGAATAAGACTGATGCCATAGAAGATTAAGAGTTGCCAATAAGATACTATGTCAGCACAGTGCTTGGCACAGAAGATGCACTCAGAAAATGGCACTCTTAAGTACACAGTGGTACCTAGAGACCACTCGTCCAGCCTGAAGCCTGAGGATTGTTCAGGATGTGGAATGATGAGCATCATGCAGCAGCAGGCTGCCTGGAAGAAAGGCTCTTTTAACCTGATCTCTGTGTCTAAGATCACGGGATTCACTTTGGAGCCTCCCAAACTGGAAGAAACAGTTTTGCTCACAGCGGTTTTGTATTTCCTAGTTATCATTATGTACACCTGGTTATTCTTTCTCTGCTTTCAAAATCTTCAGAGATCTTTGGTTTCCTGTTCCCAATGTGGATCCTTTCATCCTCATACCATCTGAGAAAGTGATTTCTTTTTAATGCTCTAAGAAAATGGCAGGGGCAATAAAACAAAAGAAGCAATAAGACGATGTTCTATCTTGTAACATTTTATCTTTTTCTAAAAAAAAAAAAAAAAAAAACAGAGAACCTGTTAAGCTAATCAGCAGGATTGGCTCCAGCTGGATCTGGCTGATGCTTCTACGTGGCTAGGGAACCCAGGTTTGTTAAAAATGGTGCTTCTGGGTCATTTTCTATATTAGATTCCAGAATAACATGGTGAATCACAGTGCCTATGCTCCAATCTAGTGGATAAGGTTCAATCCAGAGACCGAGGACCGTAACAGAAATGTACAAGCATCAGAACGGGCAGTAGCCAATACTATGTAAGAAAATAATCTAAGTTTTAACGACCTGGACTAGGCATGTTATTCTCTCCCACTGAGGCTCTCTGAAGTTCAACTTCTTTAGGATTACCAGTCTTCATTTGATCCTTGACAAGGCCCAACCTTATTTTTGGAGAATCAAGTGGAATGACAGGATATCAACTAGTGAATTGTTTGTTGAACACAAGAGGCAGGCTTCCTGAGTTCAGATCCAGCCTCTGCCACAAACCACATACCACACTGTTGAGTGTAAGCTAGCTATTTAAACTTTCAGTGTCTCAGGTTTATCATCTATAAAATGGGGATAATTCTTGTACCTACATCATAGAGTAATTGTGTAATTGGGATGATTTTTTGTAAAATGCATAAAGCATACATAACAGCAGAAACTGCAAATGTTTGATAGATATGTGACAGAATAAATCAATCTACCATGAGTTTGGTATTATAATTAGTATCGAATCCAAGGACTGAAAAGCACATCTCATATCACCTTCCCCCCAATGCATAATTTAGATTAGTCAGTTACAAAACTTGGAACAGTCTAAAAGAAAAATTATTTTTCTAGCCTTATTATTTCATTATGGTATGAAATTATTATCCCTGCTTTATAGAGGAAGCAATTGAAATCCAGGAAGTTAAAATTACTTACTAAAAGTGAACAAAAGATAAAATGTGAGAAGAGATGAGACTAGAAACTGAGAAAAAATAAATGTCACCAAACCTGTTGGGAGACAGAGCTTTTTTGCAAGATGTAATTCACAGCCCTTCCTGAAAATAATTAGAATTCCTAATAAAACACTTGAGCAATTTTCTGATAAACTCTCATGATACTTAAAGATCCTTTCTGGGAAGATCCACTCAGCTGACTATCAGTTTTGAAACTTGCCTACATCTTTAATCCATCTTACAAGTAGCCTAATCTTTAACCAGACAATTCTTCATTGTATGACCTCTCCCCACCACCCCTCACCCAAATGTTTCTACCTAGGGGAGAATCTTGAATTCAGCTTATTCAGCAACTTTTCATCCAACAGCACGTTTGAAATAAAACATAATGTGGGCTTATAATCATCTTCTCTGAGAAGTTGTCTTTAAATATGTAGATATTTCCCAGTTGAATACAGCACTTTTTCCTATATTCCCAAAGATTCTTACTCCTTGCTGTTTTTTTTTATTAATCCCCAAACTCATATATCCATTGAATTAAACTTGGAAGGAATATTAGGAACAAACTTGTCCAACTTTCTTGATTTAAAACATCTGCATCTTTCCAGCTACAAACATAGAGACTCAAAGATAACTTTAAACTGAAGATAAGTATCTGCAATAAGCCACTACTATGGGCAGAAATAGTTTTTCTGTTCACAGTAGGTTCATTTTATTTGTTTGCTAGTTGGTCAGTTGCTTGCCTCTCCCTTTCCCATTCAGGCTCTAGGCGAAGTAATAGGAAGGTATCATGAGCAGTGCACAGTCAGACATGACCAAGTCCACAAATATTTGTGTCTTTCCATAATGTCAGACTTTCACCAATGCTATTTCAATCATCAAAGCCATGAGCTACCTGAAGCTCCAGAGGAGGTAATTCTCTTTAGTGCTACCCATTCACTTGGCAGAGCCATAGGCACACAAGCTCAAGTCACTCCACAGGTCAGACAATATTGCAAACCACACATAACCTACCTACCTACCTACCTACCTACCTATCTGTTTTGACTAAACATTCCACAACAAAGTAACATTTAACATCAAGATAAAGGAGATAGGAAAAAAGGGTTAACAAACCAGTTCAGAGAGAGCAATGTGGACCAAACAATGCCTCGTCCTGATCCAGGTGGTCCATCAGGGTCTTGCAAGGAAGAGATTTTAATGTGGGCAGAGTCTTCGGCAGGGGATGCTGGGTACTTATCACAAGGGACAGAAAGATGGTGTCTGCTAAGACAGCAGTTTCCAATTGGTGAAATCCTGCTCTTTTTTATGGCCACAGAGTCCTCTAGCGAGGACTAATAGTGAAAGGGTGTGAATGATTATGTCCTTATCTGGTTGGGTGCAGTCTCTATTGGTTAGCCGAACACCTGGTCCCTGTTGGCATGATGGCTTTTAAAATGTAAGATGGAGTCTTTTTCTAAGATGGAGCTACTTATGCCAAGGGTGCTCTATAAAGAAAAGCTCTATAAAACAAACAGGAACAAAGCAACCCAAGGTTGGTAAGAGAAGCTCAAGAGAAAACATGAGATAGCCAGTAGTTCTCAAACTTTAGCCTGCACTGGAATTCACCAGAATCACCTGGAGGACTTGCTCGGACAGACTGCTCAGCCGGAGCCCCTCATTGCTGATTTTGTAAGTCCAGGGTGAGGTCTGAGAATCTGCATTACTAACAAGTTTCCAAGTGATGTAGATGATACAAGGAGCCACATTGTGAAACACCCAGATGTGTTTCTTCAGTGGAAACTTCTTTTAGATCATCACCTTCAGGCCAGACACACACTTTTCCTCCTTCTCCTCCAAACTCCAAAGCTCTCCCTCCCCCGAAAGAGGGACTGTACTAAGACTGAGAATCCAGACACATGAGGTTGACAAGACTGTCAGATGGGGGGGTGGGGGGTGCTTAGTGGATAAGGGGCAATGATTATGTAAGTGGGAGATGATATAGCAGGAATTTCTAGAAGGATTTCAGAGGGAATTTCCCTGTAAAAATTCGATCCTCACGCTGAAGAGCCACTTCGGAATCTCCATCTGCATTTTTTTTATTATAAAAAGCTGATTCCTTTTCTCACTTTTTTTCTCCTTGCAGGTGAAAGAGATCCAAAAAGGGGCAGGTTCTCTTGATCAAAACTATCCTTCCAAAAGTTTTACTTGGAGAGGTTATTTGGGTAACAAGTTTAACATTTGCAAATCCACCACCCCCTCTTCTCCCACTTTCCCTAACATCTATTAACATATCTGGATTTGTTTTTATGGGTGTTCGCAGCCTCTGCTGGCTGATGTTAACATCACATGGGGAGCTTGTGAAGAGTAAGACCAGGGAACTACCCCATTCAGATCCACGCAATCAGAATTGGAAGGCTATGGTCTGGTATTAGAATTTTTAAAGTTTCCAGGTGATTCTGATGTGCCTCCAATGGGGAAAAAAGTCAGTTTCAATCAAATAGTCAGTTACATCTCTGTGAGACTGAGCTGTCTTTTAATCTGGATAATGAGAAAATACCTAATCCACAGGCTGATTTAGGCAGCATGAAAGCTGCGTGAGGGTTGTGTGTGCAGAGAAAAAGAAAGAAGGGCAGAGGGAGAGCTTTTCAGAAACGGAGCCTCCAGCAAAGAGCACGGAACTTTGGTAGGAAGCAATTGACTAAAATTACTGCCCAAAGTTATATCACAACTGGACTCAATCAATTATGACCTCTGACTAGTATGAAGACTGAAAACCTCAGTTTACCCAAGTCCACTGCATTTCCCAACTCCAGCTCTGAATCTTCTGTGGTGTGAGAGAGAGATTGAAGATTGGTGCTGAAACCTTTTTTTTTTTTTTTTTTTTTACCTCCAATGTCTTCCTTTATTATAGGAGACAATTTATGTTATTCAAAGGACTTTCCTAATGTGGTTTCTTTTTAATCAAGAGACCATTGTTGGTGTGTTCAAAGGTGTTAGCACTTGGATTATATTGAGAAGAGGGACAATGGTTACTTTACAAAATATTAATTTTTTTAACTTGAGAGAATTATGGTTTGAATGTCTTTCGGGGGAATAGAATGTATTGGTAGTAACTTTGATAACTTGTGCCTCTTAACGTGGTGAGTAGAACACAAATTTAGTTTAAATCTCTGCATATGCATGAACTTGAGAAAATAACACTCAGTGGCCCACATAATGATGAAATCCTATAATCACAGGCATAAAACAAGCTATTTCTTTCCTAGCCTTTCTTCTGTTTTTAACAAGTTGACTCAAAGAGTCCCTGGAAATTTTCCAAAAAATGGGCTCCTACAGCAATCATGTAATGCTTAAGTATTTTTCTTAACCCTATACAAGCTATATTGATGAAACTTGCTTTGTATTTTCAACTAATTAGGTTGGGTACAAATTTCCCTCAGTCTCTGGTATTCAGAAATTTTGTATGTGTGTGTGTGTTTTCCACCAATGCTTAAATATCAAGTTTTTTTTCTTCTCCCATAGATCAGTGGACCATTAAGGCCAGCATTGATTCAAAGTAACATTCCTGTGCTTCGTCCTGACTCAATTATAAGACAGCTTGGTCTCTTCTGTCCTAAGCTCCTTACAACCTTGTTCTCTCTTCATGCCTGTTTTCAAAACCATGTAAATAATATGCAAAGTTCTATCCCATCAAATCTAAATTTAAACCTTAGGCATTCAAAATTCATCTTCTGTAAGCAGAAGTTCTATTTCTCATTATCTTTCACTGGAGTGGCCTAATAATCATTGTTTAAATAGCAAGACTATGGGCATGCTCATCATCACCTTGTCACTTTATTCATATTGTTTGCCAAACTAGAGTAGTCTCAACTTCTTTACTAATGACAAACTGCCATGACAGCCACCGGCCCCATAAGGGACTATTAAGAGAGTTTGGTCACAAGAAAAGTAACTCATCAAACCCTTTTGTTACAGAAAATAGCTGGATGGAGAAAATACCACTGACCCTAACCCAGGACAATCCTCCTGTCTTTGAATGTCTCCATGCTGCTCACTTGCCTCCTTGCACTCAACCAAGACTGCGAAGTGTACCTGAACACCAATTAGGAGGTCTCCCACTTCCACACACAAAAAAGGGAATCCCATGGTAATAAAATGCTTTCCAGAGATTGTCTCAGTCTCTTTTAACTATATAAAACTTTCACTGCTAAAAACTTTAAACCTCTGTTGACAGAAAAGTAGCAATAGACGGGGACCTGTGCCAAATTTTGTAAATAAACAACTATTTTAAATGTGTTTCAGACTTAGTCTTTGGCACTATCTAAATCCTATAACCTTTTCGGAAGCAGTTTTGGTTCCAATGTGTGCGGTTATCCAACCTGCAATTATCCCTTTTATGTGGTATTTGCCTATTTCTACCCCTCTGTGGATACGCCCTCCCACTTCCACACAAGAATGGTAAAGTAATGGTAAGGAATTGAAAGGAGAGAAACTGTATTTTCTTTTCTTTCTGGCCTCCTCTTTATCATCCCCTTATACCTTTTTTTAAAAATTTTTTTCCTTTTCCTTTTAAAATTTCTATATACCTAAAACTGAACCTAAACGTAAGCATAAAACGTGCCCTCAATAAATGTTTTAGAGCATGCTTAACACTCTTCTCCTAAGGAAATAAGAATGAAACAGACCAGATGGCTATGTTACTTTACATATGTAACATTTAGTCCCTATGGCATTTTAACTATTCCTTTGATATTATTAGAAGAAACTTCAGTATTCCATATACTCTTGCAAATGATAAACAAAAAACTTTTAAAGGACTCAGATTTTTTTAACAGCAATGTATCTCTGTCCACTGTGGTAATCAGTCAATCTTTATCTTCAGTGTTTGAATAATATTCATAAATGTATAACCTATACTAAGTTCTTAGTAAATATCTTTGAATGCAAACATGAATGAATGTAAAAACAACTGATTGAATGAAGGAAAATCCATAGAAGATGTTTTCAAATGAGAAAAGAACTCATAGATAAGAAATAATGGGAATCTGGGAGCAGGTATAAAAATGGAAATTGAACAGAGATTAATTAGGCCATTATTCTATGGTGCCACAGATCTGTGATTCTTATTGACTGTTTTGATGGGCATTATAGTTAATGCTGGTCACCTGCCAAGGAGGTGACTTGATTCTGTTGTTTAGCAGACCTGCAAACAGTACAATGTGTCTAGCATCCTACTGAAAGCAATTTTACTCATTTGTATTACTAAGAACCCCGAGGAGAGGGGAAATAAAATTCAAATAACAAGAAATTATCTTTAATGTAAAAATGTTATAATAATATCTAGAAAATATGTCCTAGCTGGATTATTGATTTCAAAAATAGAAGCACTCTTTCTAAATCTTTATAACCTATGATATTACTTTTTATAATATTAGAAACCCCACAGGGACTGAAGTAGAGACTTGTTAAATACAGTGGAATGAAGTGAATAAAAGCTTCTTCCAACTCTGTTCAGTGATTGAGTCTCAGAAACTTTTTTGTTGGGTTTAGATTATGTTCTTTACTGTAACTTTCCAAAATAATTTGCCTTTCTTTCATTTTTCTATTTTGTCATACAAGTTTTTAGCAACTATTTTTAGTGTCACTATACAGAAACAGCATGATGTTTGATTTTATCTTGTAACTTGGTTAGGCCATGGTGGTCAGACATCACTCTGGATATTTCTGTGAGGTTATTTTAGGATGAGATTTACATTTAAGTTGCTGATTTTTAGTAAAGCAAATCACCTTCTGCTATGATCTGAATGTTTGCGTACCTCTAAAATTCATATGTGGAAGCCTAGTCACTAATGTGATATTAGGAGGCAGGACTCTTGGGAGGCGATTAGATTATGAGAACAGAACCCTCATGAGTGTAATTAATGCCCTTAGAGGCCCAGAGAATTGGCTTGCCTCTTCCATCGTATGAGGACACAGCAAAAAGACAACTCTCTACTAACCAAGAAATGGGACCTCACCAGACACTGAATCTGCCAGCAGCTTGGACTGCCCAGCCTCTAGAACTGTGAGAAATACATTTCTGTTGCATGCTATTTTGTTATAGAAGCCTGGAGAAACTAAGACATCCTTCTTATTGAGGTGAGGGTAGAGGGAGGAGAGTTCATCCAATCAGCTGAAGGCCTGAACAGAACCAAAGGTTGACCTCCCCAGGCAAGAGGATATTTAGTGAGCAGACAAGCCTTCAGATTTGATTTGCAGTAGTCTTTCTTCCCTGGGCCTCCAACGTGCTGGCCCACCTGCAAATTTTGGATATGCTATCTGCCATAATTACATGAGTCACTTCTTTAAAATAAATCTCATATATATGCCATATATATGTGTGTATATATATATATGCCATATATATGTATATATATATATGCCATATATATGTGTATATATATATGCACGTTATATGTGTATGTGTGAGTCTTATTTATATATAAGATTTTACAGAATTGTAAATATGTGTATATGTAAATATATATGCATGCATATATTTGTATATATAAATATATACATGTGTGCATATATATGTGTATACACACACACAGATACATATATCCTATTGGTTCTGTTTTCCTGAAGAACAATGACTAATGCAAACAATGACCAAAATTTGAAGATAAAAGCTGAAAGGAATTGGATTTTATTCTACAATGAAATTTTTTTTTTTTTTTTTTTTTTTTGAGACAGAGTCTTACTCTTTTGCCTAGGCTGGAGTGCAGTGGCATGATCTCAGCTTACTGCCAACATGCCACGCTAACTTTTGTATTTTTAGTAGAGATGGGGGTTTCAACCAGGTTGGCCAGGCTGGTCTTGAACTCCTGACCTCGTGCTCCACCCACCTTGGCCTCCCGACGTGCTAAGATTACAGGCATGAGCCACCGCGCCCAGCCTCTAAGATGAAATTTTATTTGAGATCTAGATCAATGAAAGCAAATGGGTTTCCTCTCAAGTGCTCCCTCTAGTGGACTGGCAGTGGCTGTCTGGACCAACCCGGGATGAAACAGCAACTGATGCTCTGTGGAGGCTGAGGTGGATTGAGGGGGCCACAGGGCTTATTTGCTACCCCACAGAGAGACGACTCCCTCCATCCCAGTAATACACTGAGGAAGGTCATTTTGTGCACAATGCATTCTCTAGAGAATTCCACTTTACACCGAGGTTTTTATTTTTAATTTTTTATTTTTTTAGAAAAGGGATATTTTCCTCTCATTTAATGGCATGATTAAAATAATTCCTTCCCAAAATGAGAATTAATACTCTTCTGAGGGCCAGCAAGGGCAAAAAAGAACAATATAATTTCTGAGTTTAGACAAAAGCAAAATTATTTTTGAAGTCGTCTAAGTATTTGGGGAAGTTGCAAAATTAAACCTCCAGAGGTTTAATGTCTTCTAAACATTTCCCTTTTAATCCCCTAAGGCCCTCTAGAAATTTCGTTTTCAGTGCCTTTTGTGGCCATATAATAAAAGTTTTCTACACTGAGGTCACTTTACCCAGCTTTACTTTCTAGAGTAAATTTTTTAATGTTGTGGACTCATATAGCTTATTAAAATGAGTAGTACTAAGAATCTAAGAAATAAGTATCTTCTATATGAGAAAACAGTCTGAGAACTATCTCTTTGCATTATATTTTTAAACAAATGATTAAAAAATATATGGGCAATAGGAAGTGATTACTTGGCCTGATCATGCTGACACCACAAAATTACAACCTCTCTTCAATCAGGTCTTAGCTCACAGAAGTCTTAAAAATCTGCTCTCCATCTACTTACCCTGCTTATCATATCATCTACCTATTTGTTATGTGTATCTCTCCCACTAAAATGTAAGTTCCTGGTGGATCATCACTTCATCTTTCTTGTTCATTGGTGTATCATCAGGACCTAAACTGGTGCCTGGCATTTACATGGAAGAAATATTTGTCCAGTGAATGGGTGGATGACTGGACTGCTTTATATTGTCAAGATTTAATCAGCCATTAAGAGAAAATTACAAGGAAATCTGAGAATTATATATCTATTTTGGAGACAAAAACTAACATTTAATATATATTTTTTTAACATATAGGGTGCTTAGTAAAGTCTACTCCTTGCAAAGAAACGTCATTTTCTTTTTATTGGCTAATGAAGGCTGCTGGCCCCTGATCTCCCAACGGGAGCTGATAAAGCGGAGATGTTCAGAAGTGGCTTTTCTTTAACCCTTCCACACTCTGTGGAGAGTAGGTTGGGTTCCTGTGTGTATCAGATAACTTTGTATATTTGAAATAGGTCTTGCCAGACCCAGGATGAAATGTACAAAGAGCAAGAATGGGAAAATGCAGCATAGTCCCCAAAGGGTGAAGTGTCTTGGGAGAGAATGACAGTTGAAGAATTTAGATTTATTAAGTCAAGAATGGAGTCCCCACCTCCACCTCAGGCAGAAACGAGTGAGAAAAGTCAGACTGATTATGTGTAAAGGAGAAATCTTCACAGAAGCAAAACTGTCTATGTCTTCAATAAGACCTATTTATTTTTATTTCTGTGAGGAAAAACCCCATAATTATAAATTACAATTTTAGTGTGTCCTTGGTGCCAACTAGATAGTAACACTGTTCAGTTTATTTAAAAAAAGAAGAAACTTTGTTCATGACAGCCCTTTGTGACCTGAAGATCTTTTAATATTTTGCAAAATGATATGTTAACCAGATAATGGAGATGTGGATAAAATGTATCAAAATTGGTGACACTGATTTGTAGGCTAGTCAGTGAGCTTCACCTAACATGAATATTTTTATCCACAAATTTTGCATTGTTAAGCAATGACCAGGACACTGATGAAAAATCAGAACATAAGCAATAGATTAAATAGATTGAATCAAGTTGATTTGTAGGTGAGCTCCTTGAGTACCCACCCACTATTTACCTTTACTTTTCCCATAATTATAAAAAGCTGTGTGACCTAAAACCTGTGCTCATGAATATTAAAAAGCACCCAATTAGAAAGTTAGAAAGTCATGTGAATTGGGAATGATGGGGGAGGAGGAAGGGTGCGTGCTGGAAGAGGACAGGTCTTCCTGTAAGTCCAGACTATCTGACACATAACATAAAAATAGAAAATTAGATAAGATAACCAAAAGAATTCTAATTTGCAACATTTAAAAAAGCAAAGCAGGCCGGGTGCGGTGGCTCACACCTGTAATCCCAACACTTTGGGAGTCCAGGGCAGGTGGATCATGAGGTCAGGAGATCGAGACCAGCCTGGCCAACATGGTGAAACCCCATCTCTACCAAAATACAAAAAAATTAGCCGGGCGTGGTGGTGGGCCCCTGTAGTCCCAGCTCTTGGGAGGCTGAGGCACGGGAATCACTTGAAACCAGGAGACGGAGGTTGCAGTGAGCTAGGATCGCACCACTGCACTCCAGCCTGGCGACAGAACAAGACTCCCTCTCAAAAAAAAAAAAAAAAAAAAAAAAAAAAATGCAAAGCATAGTGTGGAATACAACATTCAATACTTATAATGACCACAAATTCATCAAAACATGTTAAAGTACATAAGAATGGTAGCCTGAAAAAAGATCAATGGGTTGATCAAAGTCAGTGTCTCATAAGTGATTTTAAAAAGTTAATGGTAAGGAAAGGAGAATTGTTAACTTTTTACTTAGGAGGAAGGTAGAGTGGACCAAACTTTTGGGATGGGTAGAGAAATGTGCAGAGACTTCTAGTTAGCAGCCTTATTTTTAAATAGTTCCAAATTAGAATGGGGTATATTGCGAGTCAAAGAAGAAATAATAAATGGAAGAATTTAAAGTTTATATTTGATCAAAAGAGCGATAAGGAAAACTTTGAGGTACAGGCAGCAAAACGATCGGGGTACCAGTTTTTAAAAAGCTGGCAATAAGATGCAAAATAATCTGAAAAGGGAAAGGCTAGAGAATCTACCAGCCAAATGAAGACTCGTTTTCTGTCATACTACCACAGATTTCAAGGAATATACACATGGATTATAATTAAACAAAAATTCCCAAATAGAAGTTACAGAACTGGACACATGTAAAGAAGAAGCGGGTACTACTATTTATTACAGAGTTCTGGGTGCATGGACTACAGCAATGATATTTGTCCTTAATGTAGTCTAAACTTGGCAAAGGAAATGTTTTTCAGTAGAACAAAGACCTGTATTAAAAATTTGAGTATTTCTTAACAAACTTGTGTCAGAGAAAATACTGAGGTAATAAGCATTTTGGAATTCTTTTTTCACAAAGAAGAATGAATGGGGAAATAAAGATGTTGAGGTAGAATAAAAGAATCAGGACACTGAAGAAACAATGATAAAGTCGATTGCATTGTAAGGAGGAGAGAAAGTCAAAGAAAAACATTTACAAAGCGATGAAAAAATCAGGAAAAGAAGGAAATTCAAATCCAAGAGGACAGTCGGCAGTTTTGCATGGTGCGAAGAAATAAAAGTGAACATATTTGAACTCAGATTTTTTTATACATCATTCTGCTTTATAAACGTGTTTCAATAACTAGATATGAGATTAGGCTTGCCAGATTTAGCAAATAAAAACACAGTACACCAAGTCAAATTTGAATTGCATGGGCCATACTTACACTAAAACATCATTTGTTATCTGAAACTCAAATTTAACTGGGCCTCTTATTTTATCTAGCAATTCTAGATTATATTTACGAAGACTTCACCTCTCAGTTGTTTCAACATTGAAATGAGGAGTTGCAAGGATAGAGAGCAACAACAACAAAAAAAGTTCAGAAGCCTAAGAATAGGGAAGAAAAGAGCAAAACAATTTCTTTTTTTTTTTTTTTTTTTTCCTTTTTTTGAGACGGAGTCTTGCTCTGTCACCCAGGCTGGAGTGCAATGGCACGATCTCGGCTCACTTCAAGCTCCACCTCCTGGGTTCAAGAGATTCTCCTGCCTTAGCCTCCTGAGTAGCTGGGATTACAGGCGCATGCAACCACGCCCAGGTAATTTTTGTATTTTTAGTAGAGATGAGGTTTCACCATCTTGGCCAGGCTGGTCTGGAACTCCTGACCTCAACTGATCCACCTGCCTCAGCCTCCCAAAGTGCTGGCATTACAGGCAAGAGGCACCGCGCCCGGCAGAGAAAAATGATTTTCTAAAAGGAGAAACAATTAGAGCTTGTATCTAGGACCAGAGATGCCATTGCTTTGATATAAAGAGCTCAGGGAGAATGACCCAGAATTCTAACAAAGTGAAAATTGTGTTTGTCCTTGCTCTTAAAGACAGTAGCTGCCTCCATGACAGAGAGAAACGTTGTTAAAGATTGACTTGCTTCATTCTTGTACCTTGAAGCAACGTCTGATCCTAACTATGCAGTCAAATTTCAACAGCTTAATACAAATCTGATGGTCTTTTAAGTACAGATGCTCTACTGCCTGAAACTGGGCATTGCACCTGCATTATGATGTTTATTCAACCATACAAATAAACATGGAACCATTTAGTTTTACAAAATCGAGAAAACAGATGACACTGAAATAAAAGTGTCCCACCTCACCCCCAAATAAATGAATCCAAAAGGCTCAAATATATTTTCTTTTTGGTACCAAATGTCTGTATGTTTAAATGAAAGGAGTCATAATGTAGAAATAATGCCCTTCGACACAGAATTTTTATATATATCTTCAGTATTTGTTTTCTTTTACAAATATGTAATTAAACAAAGTGAGGTTGGGATAATAAACATGATGTCAGTACTCTGCTGCTGGCCAAACCAAACATTGGCTGAGACCTACTCAGTGCTGTGGGCTCCGTAACTGCAGAGTCTCCTGCAGTGAAAACTCCTAAGACAATGAGAAAGGTGACACACTGAGGGAACTCGAACACCACAGAGGCTATGGAGATAGACAGCTGAGTCAAACGTAGGTAATGTGAAATCACAGTAAGTAATTAACTTAATTGTTCACTCCAAAATTGGAAGTGAAACGCCTGGAGCTTGGGAAGGAAAATAGGAAATAAAGTTGTTTTGTTTTATTATGTTTTATGTAGATGTGTAGTGAGCTAATCACCTTGTTTATTGAGATTTTACTGTGACTGGTTTACCTGTATTTGCTCATTGCCACGACATTATAAAATAAATACTATGCATTTTCTTTTTATTAGAGACAGGGTCTCCATCTATCACCCAAGCTGGAGTGCGGTGGCACAATCATAGCTCACTGCAGCCTTGAACTCTCCAGGGTTCAAGCTATCCTCCTGCCTCAGGCCCCTGAGTAGCAGGAACGAGAGGCGCATGCCATGACACTCAGCTGATTTGTTTTTCATGTTTTTTTTGTAGAGACGGCATCTTGCTATGTTGCCAGGCTAAATACTATGGTTGTCCTCGTTCTATGGATTAAAAAAATGAGGCATAAAAAGTTTATCAGCTTTTCCAAAATCACTTGGCTAGGAAGTGGCAAAGATGAAATAATGTACACTACTTGCAGGATGGATACACCAAAATCTCATAATTCACTGCTGTATAATTCATCCATGTTACCAAAAGCCACTTGTACCCCAAAAACTTTGAAATAAAAAATATTATATATGAAAAAGATGCATTACGACTTGGAGCTCACACCTGTCATATTCATATCGCCACTTGACTCAGTATTGTGGAAAATACTTTCAATTACTGAAAAGAGGATGATGATATCTATAAAATGAATACGGTATGTTGTAGATTCATGGAAAATCATGTTGCAGGAATAGTTTAGAATTTACAATGTGTTTTGTTCTGTTTAACTTCTAGAAATGGCAATGAAACCCTTAAATATTTATTAAGCAAGATTCCTTAAACTGTACTGTATTTGTCCTTCATAATATAGTCATTATTTTCAGAAAGTTTCTATGCCCATTAGAGTGGTTATTAACTTTAAGTATGTATGCACAGTCATGAATGCGTACCAATAAAGTGTCCTTTTTTTTTTTTTTTTTGGAAACGGAGTCTCGCTCTATTGCCCAGGCTGGAGTGCAGTGGCGCAATCTCAGCTCACTGCAACCCCCGTCTCCTGGGTTCAAGTGATTCTCCTGCCTCAGCCTCCTGAGTAGCTGGTATTGCAGGTGACCGGCAACACACCCAGCTAATTTTGTATTTTTTTTTTAGTAGAGACGGGATTTCACCATGTTGGTCAGGCTGGTCTCGAACTCCTGACCTTGTGATCCACCCACCTCAGCCTCCCAAAGTGCTGAGATTATAGGCGTAAGCCACCACACCCGAAAGTGAGCAGGTTTTGAGATGTAAACTCAAAAAAAGTACAAAAACACTTTTGCAATGTTTTTATCAAGCAGAGTTTTGCATACCATCTATCTACTGACTGAGAGAATCTTTGATAGGTTCTTAAAAACATTCCTTTCCTATAAAATGACCTGCACTCTCACTCTCTTTTTCTTTCTTCTTTTGAGTTGGATGGTAAATAGATTATCCATTTCCTTGTATATTAAACTACATTGAATTATAACCAATTTAGTATAGTTTAGTTGCTCTAAATCTCTTGTGGTCTACCCTAGGGCAAGACTTAACAATGGATATTGAAGCCAGAAATAAGAACAAACCTTTGAATCAAATCTTCTAGAAACACAGCAACTTAGTGGACTGAATGATGCTTTCATAGCAATTGTTATTAATCAGGAAATTAATTGCTGAATCTGTATCTGATAACAGAAAGGGAGAATAAATGGTTAATGAAAGAAATATCTGAGAGCTTGAATTTAATTACGTTTACTGGAAATACATCTAAATGAAGAAATAATAAGTAGGACTAGATCTCAAGCTTCTAGTGTGGTCATATAAACAGGCTATATTAGGCACAGACACTAAGAAATAAAATATATTCTCAATGGGACGATTAAGCAGGAGAGTTGGCTAACATTTATTGATTCTGATGTGAAAAAAAAACAAAATGAAAATTTTCGATAGCATTCCATTGAAACCATCACTAAACCTATCTCCTGCTTCATCAGGATTTAGATGACTATTTAGAAAGAATTAAAGCAACTAGAGGATATCCAGATAAAATCTGTGTGTGTGTGTGTGTGTGTGTGTCTGCACACATATTTGTAGGAATGAAATTTGGACTATATCTCGTGACAATCATAGTAGTAGACCCTAAATTTTGAAATTCAAAATTTGAGGCCGGGCACGGTGGCTCACGCCTGTAATCTCAGCACTTTGGGAGGCCGAGGTGGGCGGATCACGAGGTCAGGAGATGGAGACCATCCTGGCCAACACGGTGAAACCCCATCCCTACTAAAAACTACAAAAAATTAGCCGGGCGTGGTGGCGGGCGCCTGTAGTCCCAGCTACTCGGGAGGCCGAGGCAGGAGAATGGCGTGAACCCGGGAGGCGGAGCTTGTAGTGAGCCGAGATCGCGCCACTGCACTCCAGCCTGGGCGACAGAGCGAGACTCCGTCTCAAAAAAATAAAACACAAAACAAAATTTGAAATTCAAAATTGAAATTCACAATTTAGGGTCTACTACTATTTTGTCATTAGCACTATCCCATGGAATTTAAATTTCTAGACTTTATATTAACTTTTTATTAATTTTTAAAGTGAGTGTTTACAACCTGATAAAAAATGTTTTTCCAGGACTGTTTCAATGAACAGGGATAATCATAACCCATGTATATTTTTTAACTGTTTCATAATACTTCTGCTTTAGTAATAGTTGATAGAAATGTACATATGACTGAATTTCCACCACTGTGTACTTGTACAAATGCCAGCAGTAATTGCTTATTGCATGCTGGAAGTGGATTCAGCCATTATTCTTGAGAATTTATTCCATGTTAATCTTTAATAGAAACTGGAAATGCACAAGTGAATAGACATGACCCCTGACCTTAAAGAAATTGCACTTCATTATAAACACAGGCATTCAAATAAGCATTCATAACGCAAAGTGAAATGAGCTGCATGGAGTTGTAGATAAGATACACTCTTCAAAGTGGAGCCAGCACTTGAACTAGTTAGAGAAGACAGGTTACCCTGGGCATGTGCAGAAATATGGTGGCACATTTGGAAAACAACAGAGTCTGTTATTGCCAGAGTACAATTCAAGAGGTGAAGGCTAGGCTAGGCACAGTGGCTCACACCTGTAATCCCAACACTTTGGGAGGCCAAGGCAGGTGAATTACCTGAGGTCAGGAGTTCCAGACCAGACTGCCTAACATGGCAAAACCTCATCTCTACTTAAAATAAAATAAATAATAAATAGCCTGGTGTGGTGGCATGTGCCTGTAGTCCCAGCTACTTGGGAGGCTGAGGCACGAGAATTGCTTGAACCTGGGAGTCTGAGGTTGCGGTGAGCTGAGATTGCACCACTGTGCTCCAGCCTGGGCAACAGAGCAAGACACTGTCAAAAAAAAAAAAAAAAAAAAAAAAAAAAAAAAAAAAGAGGAGGTGAAGGCTAAAGGAAGTGGCATGATAGGTGGCTAGATACGCAGACAAGAAAAGATTAAGTCATCATGTTTTTGACAATCCAAAGGGTATAAATTTTACCTAAAGCCTTTTAAGAATTTTGGGCATGGCAATCACAGGGTAAGGTTTATTTTTACATCAGTCTTTAGCATTGTGGAAGGTGAGCAATAGAGGGTTGCTTTAGGTTACTGGATGGGAGGATTTTAGGAAGTGGAGTTGGATGAATTGAGTAATTGGATGTGGGAGATAAGGGGATAGGAGAACTCTAAGGTGAGTCCCAGGTTTCTGCTATCAAATCAAAATAAGTCATACAGGAGTTGACTAGATTGTTGGCAGTGCCCCCAGCTCCGAGCAGAATAAAATAGAAATTTCTTTCTAGAGAAAGCACTCTCAATTTAGACAATTGGGATTTTTACAGGTTAAGATTTAAAAAAGAAAAAAAAAACCAACCAAAAAGAAAAAAAAATTGAAGGAATACGACAAGTGAGAGTGAGTACAAACAATAAACAAAATTTACAGACTCCAGTGAAATTGGAATGATCAGATACAGACTATTAAGTACATGAAATGTTTAAAGGAGGATAGACTGTTAAAAAAAAAAAAACAAGCTTAAAATAAAATGTAATTGTTGAAATGAAAACTCAGTAGGTGACACACAGCAGAATAGGCACAGTTATATAGAGAATTAGCCAGGCATGGAAAATCAGAGAGCCAGTGGGGTTTAGGGCAACCAAGGAATGGGGGCAGCCCACACAGCGTATCAGAGTCTGAGCAGGTGAAGAGGCTTTCTCAAGTGAGAATGGCTTGATATGAAGTGTTAGTGAAGACAGCGTCCCTGCAGTAGGGGGAGTTTCCTGCAGTGGGGAGGTCAGTGCCTGAGTTAGGTTTGGAGGGTATCCAGACATGGAGAGATGGCAGCAGTAGTGACAAGAAATTGCTTATAACTGGGGGTTAAGTATATAAATAAGTATATCAAAGACAATGGGAGCCAGGATTTTTCCAGTTGGAAAAGAGAGTCAAATTATGTCAAAGAGGAAGACTGGAATGAACCCTATGACATTGGGTTGGCATTGGAAGTACTTGTGTGAATTCACGGTCTTTCATATTTAAAAGTAGCAAATTAAGTATTGTTGTGAATAAGTATGTTATTCATCTACACACAGATGTGCATGTAGTCCCTCGGGCATCTACTGGGAGGACCTTGAAGAATGGGCTTATTATATTCCAAGTTGGGAAAATACAAGATGATTTTGGAACAACATTTACTGCCAGAAAGCAGGAAGACACTCACGAAATGATAGCACCATAATGAAAGGACACAGACACCTGCTGGAAGGGGCTCCCATGGGTTAAATCTGGAACAATGTGGGCTTCAGTGTGAAAAAATAGAAGCGAGAATGGATTATTACACCTTAAATAAAATAGGACACTTTTAATCCATACCGATATAAGTACATAAAGAAATAAATGTGAGATCTGATTAGGAGAAGGCATTTATATTTCAAAGTACCTCCACAAAAATACTAATTGCCAAGGGAAAAGGCATTCTCATAGTGGGGAAGTCTGGTACACAACACCTGTATTAGTCAGGGTTCTTCAGAGAAATAGAACAAATAGGATACACGTGTATGTGTATATGTAAATACACACACACACACACACACACACACACACACACACCAAAAACTCCATCTCTATAAAAAGGTTCATTGTAAGGAATTGTCTCAGGTAATCACAGAACCTCGCAAGTCTAAGGATCTTCCAGGTGAGCTGGAAAGCTGGAGACCCAGGAAAGCCTATAGTTTAATACTAGTTTGAGTCCAAAGACAGGAAAAAAAAACAATGTCTAAGTCAAGGCCAGCAAGCAAGAATTCTCTCTCACTCGGGGAAGAGTCAGTCTTTTTGTTCTAATCAGGCCTTCAACTGATTGGATGAGGCTCTTCCACAATGGGGAGCCCCTTCTGCTTTACTCAGTCTGCCAATTCATCAGGAAACACCCTCACAAAAGCACCCAGAATATAATGTCTGGCTAAATGTCTGGGCACCCTGTGTCCTAGCTCAGTTCACATAACATTAACCATCAAAGCGTCTGCATCAAATAATCACAATAATGGGATGGCTTGAAACTGTGCAGCCCTTGGCATGATGAGTATGAAACAGGATCACTCCTGTGATATTCCTGCCAAAGATGCAAAACTTGAAACTAACCATGAGAGAAACCCAAATGAAGACCAAGTCTGCAAAACAAACGGCCTCATCGATAAAATTTCAGTCTTGAGTGTCAAGGAAAGACAGCAATCTCCCAGGCTGAGGGAAATTAAGGATCAATGAAACTCGCTGCAACATGTGACTCTGAACTGCATCGTTTTGCTATAAAGAATACTCTGGGCCGGGCGCGGTGGCTCATGCCTGTAATCCCAGCACTTTGGGAGGCTGAGGCGGGCACATCAAGAGGTCAGGAGATCGAGACCATCCTGGCTAACACGGTGAAACCCTGTCTCTACTAAACATACAAAAACAATTAGCTGGGCATGGTGTCAGGCGCCTGTAGTCCCAGCTACTCTGGAGGCTGAGGCAGGAGAATGGTGTGAACCTGGGAGGCGGAGCTTGCAGTGAGCCGAGATCGCGCCACTGCACTCCAGCCTGAGTGACAGAGCAAGACTTCTTCTCAAAAAAAAAAAAAAAAAAAAAGAATACTCTTGGGACAACTGGTGAAACTCAAATGGAATCTGAGGATTAGAAAGAACTAGTGAAATAATGTTAATTTCCTGATTTTGATGGATGTAATCTGGATATGTAGAATAATGTTCTTGCTTGTAGAAAACAGACACAAAAGTATTTGGAGATGATGGATGGAAACTTGCCCACTTACTTGCAAATGAATCAGGAGAAAAGTTTATTCTTCAGTATTCTGTGAGTTTGAGGTTATAAAATCAAATGAATAAAATAGCAATTAGATTTTCTTTTGAGTTTTTTTTTTTTTTTTTTACTGTGGATAGCTCATAGTTTGTAGCATGCTAATATTTTTTACACAAAGCAACCCCTGGGAAACATAGGTATTTAAAAGTGGAATATTTTCATTAATAATTACAAAGAGATGTAATAAAGACAGTGAATTTAGAGTGAATATAGCAAATAATTACTGTCATGGAAATAATATGATCAAGACTGATAGTAAATCAAAATATTTGATAAAAGATGAAAATTATTTTAAATTATATATCTTTGTTTTAGACATATACATTTTCATTAATTCATCAATGTTTTTATATAAGACTTTTTTCCTTTTTTCAAATAAGGTATAATTGGATCACTGCAGCATAGTATTTAAAAAATAAATTACATGTGTATGTGTATGTGTGTGTATAATATTAACAATTTCTTTAGAGTGTGACCAGTAGTCAACTGTCTCTATTAATTTTTGTTGCATTTTTTTTTTTTTGCTTTTTTGGTCAAAATTTTATGGTTCTCACACCACAATACTTTAATATAATACTTAAATAACACTTTGGAGTCTTTACAAATCATTAAAGTAGGTGTTCATGACAAAGTTTGTTTTCTCTACATATCACATTTTATTAGGGTTATGTTATAATTTGTTAAATTGTGGAATTAAAATAGCAAGTAAAGATGGCTTAAATTTAATGTAAGAAAAGAAATATTGCAGACTCTGTGAGTCAACAGTTCAGCTGGCAGAAGCAGCAGCTGCGCACAGGTGACTAGGGATCACCCTGTCCATCAAGCCGTGTCATGGACCCAGGCAGCCTAACTTATGGAAGAAATAGGGAACGTTTGTTAACCCTGCTAAAACAGTCATGAGAGCTTTATCTCTAAGGTGGGATCCTGAGTTATTTTGTTCTCCATTTTCTGTTCACTTTTAAGTCATCTGTTTATAAAGACACCATGCTAACTAAATAAGGGAAACTATGAGTGATTTTACTGAAGGAATATATAAACCTTCGTTTTGATTTTCTTTAGGTAGAATCAATCTGAAAAGCCCATGTACAGTTACAGATTGGAAGATAATAGTTTGTCCAATTTGTTCATAAATACAGAAATAATAGAACTAATTTTCTTTAATTATGAAATTTTAATGTTATGATTGAACTAGAGAAACCACATTCATCTACACTCAAGGCTTCTCCTCTTTTACATGGTTTATTTTGCTTACCAGTTACAGATCACCCTGAAATGGTGGTTTCAATAATTGTTCTTCAGAAAAAGAAAAGATAAACGCTTTTAAAAAAGTCATTACCAAGATCAATGTCAGAAAGTTTCCCCCTACGTTTTTTTCTAGGAATATTATGGTTTCAGATATTTCATTTAAGTCTTGAATCCATTTCAGTTAATTTTTTACATTGGATAATACAGGAGTCTAATTTTATTCTTTTACATATGAATATCCAGTTTTCCCAAACATCATTTATTGATGAAACTATCCTTTCCCCATTGTGTATTTTTGGTGCCATGTCAAAGATTAGTTGATAATGTGTGTGTAAATTTATTTCTAGGCTCTCTCTTTTGTTGTATTTCTGTGTCTGTGCTTATGCCAGACCATACTGTTTTACTACCATAGTCTTGTAACATAATTTGAAAGCAAGGACTGTGATGCCTCCAGCTTTGTTATTTCCCAGGAGCGTTTTGGCTGTTTGCAGTCTTGTGGTTTCATTAAAACTTTAGGATTGTCTTTTCTGTGGCATTTCTGTGAAACGGCATTTCCGTGAAAAACGCCATTGGAATTTTGATGACTAGTTTGAATTTGTAGATCGCTGTGGTTTATATGTACATTTAAATAATATTGATTCTTCCAATCCATGTATATGGGCTATCTTTTCATTTATCTGTGCCTTCTTCAATTTCTTTCATAAATGTCTGATAGTTTTCAGTGTACAGATCTTCACCTTCTTGGATAAATGTATTCCTAAGTCTCTTGTTCTTTTAATGCTATCTATTATAAATGGGATCATTTTCTTATTTTCTGTTTCAGTTGGTTTGTTTTCAGTGTATAAAAATGCAACTGATTTGTATGTTGATTTTGTGTCTTGCAACAAAAGCGCAAATAAACAAGCAGGACTATATAAAACTAAAAAGTATCCACACAGCAAAAATCACAAACAAAAACAAAAATCAATTAACAAAATAAAAAGGCAATCTATGATATGGAAGAAAATATTTGCAAACCTTATATCTGATGAGGAGTTAATGTCCAAATCATATAAAGATCTCACACAACTCAATGTTTAAAAATAACCTGATTCAAAAATGGGCCAAGGACCTGAAGAGACATTTTCCAGCAAAGACATATAAATGGCCAACAGGTATATGAAGAGATGCTCAGCATCACTAATCATCAGAAAAATACAAATTAAAACCATAATGAGGTATCACCTCATACTTGCTGGGATGGTTATCAAAAAGACACGTGATAATAAATGTTGGCAAGGGTGTAAAGAAAAGTGAACTCTTGTACACTGTTAGTGGGAATGTAAATTTGTACAGCCACTATGGAAAATATCATGGAGCTTCCTCAAAAACCTTAAAATAGAACTATCACGTGATCTGGCAATCCCACTTCTGGGTATATATCAAAAGGAAATAAAATAGTATGTCAAAGAGATATCTACTCTCCCATGTCTATTGCCACATTATTCACAAGAGCCAAGATATGTAATAGAAACAACCTAAGTGTCAGTCACAGATGAATGGACAAAGAAAATGTGCTGTATTGAATAGAATATTATTCAGCCTTAAAAAAGAAGGAAACACTGCCATATGTGACAACATGGATGAAACTGGAGGACATTAGGTGATATGGTTTGGCTCTGTGTCCCCACCCAAATTTCATCTTGAATTGTAGTTGGATCGTGAAGACGGTATCCCCCATGCTTTTCTCATTGTAGTGAGTGCGTTCTCAGGAGAGCTGATGTTTTAAAAGTGTTTGGCAGTTCCCGCTTGCTTCACTCTTCTCTTTTGTCTGCTGCCATGTAATACGTGCTTTGATTCCTTTTTGTCTTCTGCCTTCTACCATGATTGTAAGTTTCCTGAGGTCTCCCCAGCCACACAGATCTGTGAGCCAATTAAAGCTCTTCCCTTTATAAATTACCCAGTCTCAGGTAGTATCTTTATAGCAGTGTGAGAATAGACTAATACATTAGGCTAAGTAAAATGAGCCAGACACAGAAGGACAAATAGTGTATAATCTCACATATATGTGGAATCTAAAAGTTCAGTCACAAAAACAAAGAGGAGAATAGTGGTTGTCAGGGGATAGGGTGTGGAGTAAATGAGGAGATGTTGGTTCAAGGGTACAAACTTTCAGTTATAAGATGAACAAGTTCTAGAGGTCTAATGTACAGCCTGGATTAATTAATGCAGGATAGATGCATTAATTACTTTGATTGTGATAATTATATATGTATATCAAATCTTCTTTTACCCCTTAAATATGTATAATCGTTATGTCAATTAAATATTTCAGGCCATCCACCATGGTTCATGCCTGCAATCCCAGCTCTTTCAGAGGCTGACATGGACGAGGTCAAGAGATCAAATCCATCCTGGCCAACATGGCAAAACCCCGTCTCTACTAAAAATACACAAATTAGCCCAGCATGGTGGTGCATGCCTGTAGTTCCAGCTACTCAGGAGGCTGAGGCAGGAGAATTGCTTGAACCCAGGAGGCGGAGGTTGCAGTGAGCTGAGATCGCACCACTCTACTCCAGCCTGGTGACAGAGAGAGACTCTGTCTCAAAAAATAAATAAATAAATAAATAAATTCAAAAAATAAAAAATAAAATGTAACTGAGGCTTTGAAAAACAGATGAAAGATTAAATCCTCCTGAGATCTTGGATGCAAAACAAACTCAGTAAATAACAGTTTATGAAACCTCAGATTTCTTCAAAAGCGTGTTCTTCATTTAACATGTGGTAAATGTATGAAGCCTTTGGATCATTTAATTGCATGTCAGTATTAAAATTTTAAAAATAATTTGTAAACAACATTTTAGTAACTATATTTTTGCTTAAAGATTGGAAACTCGTAGTTTGATGTATAGTAAGTTTCAACTATGTCCCCCTCACTATTTTAGCAGAATTTATATTTAATATTTAGAAAGATGGTTTTAAGCCACAAAATATAAAGCATTAATAGAGCCATGGATTAGATGTCCCGTTATTTTCTTTCAAATCTGAATAGCATTTATTTTTTAATTTATTATATTGCAATTTCAGTTATAATATGTATTTGTTACATCAGGAGAAAAGATAAAAAATAATCTACCTTTGCAAGTTTAATTTGATGCCTTTGTCGACATAGACAAGAACATATTTTCAATGCAATGGTGACTGAGAATATTGATTACTACCTAGGAGTTTTCACTAAGCTTGAGTAAAACATTGTTCTCAATTGTAAGTCCATCAACCCAACATGATAAAATATGAATGGCCTTTTCTATCAAGTTTATTTGAAACCTGTCACTGTGTCTGCATTAATACTTGTAGATACCAACTGGAAACACTGTGTAACTTATAGTATAGAGGTTTCTGTTTTGATTTGTGTAAACACTTTCTTTTTGTCAGGTCAGAGTTTTATTGTGGCTTACATGGAGATAACAAAGCTTTACCAAGTGGACCACCCATCTGCTCAACTGCCACATCCTCAATGCTTTTATTGATTCAAAACCAAAGGAGTTTTGAAACAGTTGAGTTAAAAGATTGACTAAGGAGTTTAATTCTAACAGCAATTTTCAAGGAGAGATGAACCAAGCTGTTCATTCTTGAGTAAAGCTATGGATCCCAGTTCAAATGAATAAGCTCATTTACAAACTGGAGTTGCTGGATGTCCTGTCAGGCATAAGGAAAAAAATGAATTTTGTGCATCCCAAATGGGCTACTTTTAACCAGTGTAATGGTTTTCCCAGGTTAGATTTGCATATTAGGATTTAAGAGTTTCTATCTAGTCTCTCTCTCTATATATATATATATAAAGAAAATGTGGCACATATACACCATGGAATACTATGCAGCCATACAAAAGGATGAGTTCATGTCTCTTACAGGGACATGAATGAAGCTGGAAACCATCATTCTCAGCAAAATAACACAAGAACAGAAACCCAAACACTGCATGTTTTCACTCATAAGTGGGAGTTGAACAATGAGAACACATGGACACAGGGAGGGGACCATCACACTCCAGGGCCTGTTGGGGGGTGGGGGACTAGGGGAGGGATAACATTAGGAGAAATACCTAATGTAGATGACGGGTTGATGGGTGCAGCAAACCACCATGGCACGTGTATACCTACGTAACAAACCTGCATGTTCTGCACATGTATCCCAGAACTTAAAGTATAATAAAAAAATAAAAAAGTGAGTTCCATATCCTAATGGAAATTCTTCATTTAAATTTACTGAAATGATATGATTAGATATTTCGTTACTTAAATAGTATCTTATATCTAAATGAGAATGCTCCAAGAAAGGCTGAGAGGCTGTTTACATCTAACCAGTGAGTCATCTGCTCAGTCTTCCCTCTTTTAACAAGATTAATTGTCCTTGCTCCTAAAGCTGGATCCTTCTCTTGTGCACCAGATCTTATAGCCCCTTTCCCCTTCCTGCTCAGGGAAATTTCTCCAGCAATTCCCCCTTTCTCCTACATTACTGACTGTTTTAGCCTCCACTGATTCATTTCCATTATCATACAAACACGTTTCTTTCATTAAAAATAATCATAACCATGTTTTCCTCTGTACCTATTACCCAATTTTTCTGATCCCCTTTGTAGCAAAACTCACTTTCAAAAGTAAGAATCTGTATTCTCTGGTTTCAATAGCTTTTTACTTTCATTCTTTCTTGAAACTACTCCATACAGGCACACCAACTCATTTCTTAGGCTCATCATTATTTTCAGTCCTCATCTTAATGACTATTCAGCAGCATTTGACCTACTTGTTCATCTACTGTTCCTTGACACGATTTTATTTGCAGGCCTTTACACCAATCCTTAGCCATTCCTCCATCATCTGCTTCTACTCTCTGCTTCTTCCTCTCTCACCAACCGATTAATATTAGAGTGCAAATGAAGATCAGCCTCAGACTTTCCACCTTTTCTTTCTACACTCACTCCCTTAGCATTCTCCTTCAGTCTCACAACTTCAAATATCATCTCTATATTGGGAATTCTTCAAGTTGTACACCCCCAGATCATGTCTCCCCTGAATTCCAGATTTCTATATTCAAGTGCCTATTCCACATCTTCCCTGGAATCATGAGTAGAGAGCCCAAAGTCAACATGCCTAAATTTGCAGTCCTGATACTGAACCCAAAAGCAGGCTGTATGTAACCTTTGCCATCTCAATTTATGACAACTTTGAACTTTCTAATACTCCAGGGCAAAAACCAAAAACCTCTATGTCCTCCATGACCCTCACTGTCACTGTTCCCTTTCGTCCATCTGTTAACACGTCGTATTCAGAGTCCAACCACTTCCTTCTAGCCCTACCAATAAAACGACCTGGATATTTGTAATATTTTCTAACTGGTCAGCCTTTTTCAACTTGCTTTCCTATCATCCATTTTCAACGTGGCAGTTAGAATGAGCTTTTAAAAAAACACAAGTCAGATCATTTCACTTCTTCATTCAAATATTCAAATGTTTCCCATCCTACTCAGACTAAAGGCCAACATTTTTTTTTTTCAGTAGCTTACAAGAGTCTAGATATTCTCCAGGTCCCTCCACACCAGCCCTATTCAACTTCATCTTCTCTGATCTAACCAGAAGGGCTTCCTTTATCTTCTTGGACCATGCAGGGCATCTTCCTGCCTCCTGGCCTTTGCACTTGCAGTTCTTCCTTCCTACATTGCTTTCACCATGAATAACCTCCTGACTTGCAACCTTGGTTATGTTACTAAATTGCCATCTTCTCAGGGAAGCTGTTTCTAAAAAATTGAAACTCTACTTCCCAGTATATTTCACTCCCCTTCCTTACTTTATTTGTTTTCACAGCCCTTATCCTTTTCTAATATACACTATAATTTATTTGGTTCAATTAATTGTCTGTATCTTTCCACCAAAATATAAGCTCAGTGAGGACAGAACTGTTTTTGAGTTTTGTTTCCTGTTATATGTTTAACTGGTACAATAAAGGTAGTCACTAAATAAATATTTGTTAAATTAACACATAAAACTTGAATAAATTCTGGGTTAAGTATACTGAAGTAGCATGAATTGTAAAGGAACGGAATAGTAAAAGAGCGGAAGGCTAATTTCTTGCTGTGTGCAGAGTGAAGAGGATAGTTCTGGGAAAATCTCCAAAAGAGGCAATTTGTAAAGCTATGTAGTGGGATAGGTTTATGAAGGAGAGTTGGAGGATCTAAAACAGTTTTCTTTAAAGCTGTCCTTGACCTAAAGAAAACCTGCCAACGATATGTTGAATTCAAAATGCACATGGGTGAGAGAAGGAAAGTTTCCTCTAATGATTTTTTTTTTTGGCTTCTTTTCTTGGCTCCCAATGCTCCTCATTGATCTCCTACCACCCCGGGAAGAGTTCATGCCACATTTCCATGATATTTCCAAGCCATGGCATGACGTTTCAACTACACGATGAAGTCCTAATATAAATGATTGTTTTTAGACCATGTTCTCTAATAACTTATTCACTTTACTGAGGACTAATTAGGAAGAAGGAAATGGTTTCTTAGAGCAAGCAGTAGAAGGTTTTCACTGGGTCAGTAAAGACCTCGATCATATTGCAACAGCTGCAACAACAACCATCTTTTATTGAGGGCCTATGGTGACAATTGCACTACATCTATTATTTCTAACTCTAACAAGAACATTGCAAAGAAGGGATAATGACACCTTATCAGATAAGGCCGTTTGGGCTTTGCAACTTAACATGCTCAAAGACATTGAGGGGCTAAGTGCTGATATTAGAATTGAAATCCTTGTTAGAATCCTTGTGTGCCCATTCTGTTGTACAAAGCATAAATAACTTCTTAGTTTTCTTTCTTTCTTTCATTCTTTCTTTCTTTCTTTCTCTCTTTCTTTCTCTCTTTCTTCCTTTCTCTCTTTCTTCCTTTCCTTCCTTCTTTCCTTCCTTCTTTCCTTCCTTCCTTCTTTCCTTCCTTCCTTCCTTCCTTCCTTCTTTCCCTCCTTCCTTCTTTCCCTCCTTCCTTCTTTCCCTCCTTCCTTCCTTCTTTCCTTCTTTCCTTCTTTCTTTCTTTCCTTCCTTCCTTCCTTCCTTCCTTCCTTCCTTCCTTCCTTCCTTCCTTCCTTCCTTCTTTCCTTCCTAACTTAAAGTACTTGGAGTGAAAAGAATTCCAGTCTCCAACACCGGAATGTTAAGAGTATGCAGGTGTAAAACAAAGAAGCACAATGTCCTAATGCTGTTTCATTTTAAAGCTCAATATAAATTTAAAGCCAATTTAATATGTTCTTTAAAAGTTTTTGATGACATTACTGGCAGCATGATAAAATGTAGCATAGAAAATGGATCATTCCAGGGAAAGGTCAAACTGCAAAGGGTACTTTAAACCTAATTAAAAACAAGAGTCATATTATTTAGGTGGGATAACATTTATCCCTACACCGAAAGGGACAAAAGTCACTTTCAGCAGGTATTGTGTTTGTTCCTAGCACATTTTTTAGCTAGAACGAAAATATTTTAGGAAAATAATTAATCAGGTTATAAATATTTAAAACTATAAAACAAACGGCAACCCTAAAAACATTTCCAGTTCAGCTACAAGACAGAACATTTGTGAAGTTCTCTAGATTCACAAGTGGCCACTGATAATTGAATTTGTAATTGACAGTTGTACTTTATAGTGAGCAATATGGTGCTGTAATTATTTTAGAACTTTTAAATTGTCACTTCTATTTGAAAGGCCTTAGGACATGGTAAACACAGACAAGATAATTGAGGGTTCATGATTTGGGATGTTTTACTTAACTGCAAGTAATTTAATTCAAGTCACTAAGTCTTTATCAAATGTTCTACGCTGTGCTCACAACATACTGGACAAGGAAGGGAGATTTGCTTTTAAAAAGTGTATAAGATACAGTTGTCTCTAAAGTCATTAGAGGACTTGGTAAGAGGGTTCAGAAAATAGCCCTATCTACTAATAAAAAAACAAAATCAAGAAACTTTGGTGTTAAATAAAGTACAGGAATAATTAATATGTTTCATTGTAGAGGATATCACTGGTGTATATGTGTGTTTATGTGTGTGTATATGTGTATATATAGAGAGGGGGGAAACATGGATAATGTTAACAGTTATGCAAATTCAAACTCATTCATACTTCACCCATTCATACTTCACCCATTCATACTTCACCCATTCATACTTCACCCATTATATACTTTCTGGGACTATGAAAGAAATTATTTCTAATTTAAAAATTCTAACTAAAGGTTTCTTAATAATATTCTGCTTTACTTGATTTCCTGGAAAACATAAAATAATTATTGGATTATTTTAGTATTCTAGTCAAGAAGGGTAGAAAGTGTCACACTGTTACGGTAGCACACATAGCCCACAGGTCAGCTACATTTTTCTCTAAAGGGTTATAGTAAATATTTTAGGCTTTGGGCCATATTTAACTCTGCTGTGTGTGTTCCAATAAAACTTTATTTATGGACCCTAACATTTTGATATTGTGTAGCTTTCATATGTCAGAATATATCATTGTTTTGATTTTTCAATCATTTAAAAATGTAAAGCCATACTTGAAAAATGGTATGGAGACTTGTAGTTTCTGGTTCTTCATGTAAGGAGCTTGGAAGTTGCCATTCTATTCTAACAACACATAAAAAGCAGAGCAAATTGAAAAACCAACAACTCTTCTTAGATCCAAAACAGAAGTAAGGTCACAGGGCAAACTGCTGCCCCCCAGATTAAAGAGACAGATGAGGGATACAGAGAATCACAACATGCTGAAGCAAAAACCTCTATGGGAACAAGCGCTGGCTGACAGTTCTCCAGGTGGCCTTGGGCCAACCCAACTCTCTTTGATTTCTTGCTTGTAGTTATTTTTCTTTTTTCTTTTCTTTTTTCTTTCTTTCTTTTTTTTTTTTTTTTTGAGATTGAGTCTTGCTCTATTGCCAGGCTGGAGTGCAGTGGCTGGATCTTGGCTCACTGCAAGCTTTGCCTTCTGGGTTCAAGCGATTCTTCTGCCTTGGCCTCCCAAGTAGCTAGGACTACAGGTGTGTGCCACCACACCCAGCTAATTTTTATATTTTTAGTAGAGATGGGGTTCCACCATGTTTGTCAGGATGGTCTCGATCTCCTGACCTCATGATCCGCCTGCCTCGGCCTCCCAAAGTGCTGGGATTAGAGGCGTGAGCCACCGCTCCTGGCCCTTGTAGTTCTTAATAGCTGTAAATGTGCTGGGAATGCAACATCTTGAGATAAGGAATAACTGGCTAGAATATCCCACACTGCGTTCCTGTTCCTCCTAGAGCAGAATATCCTACAATGCTTTTCCCCAGTGCATCACAATGCCTCAGGGTATAAAGCCGAGGACAGGCTGCTTTTTGGGGTCCCTTAGCTGCAGTGTGACATAAGTTGCATGCAGATGAGATTCCATCCATCTCATGAAGCTTTCCTGAACCTTGGGGGACAGCTTTGTCATGAGTCCTAGGCTTCTGTTGTCCCTTGCTGCCTATCTGTAATAAATCTGCTTCATGGAATGTGTTGTGTGAAAGTATTCTGTCTCACTATAGATTTGTGCACCCAAAGTGCAGTGGGTGGAAATGTTTAGAGTCCTCCCTTTGAAATAGTAACTAGAATGCCATGAACCTTCTTCACAGGTTGGGTATAGAAACTTGAACTGTAATTGACAAATTGCTAGAGGCTAAGTATGAAGGAGTCTGAGAGTTAAAACTCCAGGAGGACCCAGTCAAAGGACGGGTCCCACACTTTGTGAGTTTTGCTCCAAGGGACTCAACCAGGTTTTCACAGCAAATATTGGAGAAAAATCTTTTTGTCCTTCTAGCAGGAAAAGATGAAAATGAATCATTTTGCAATATGCCAGAACGCTGTGTTCTTAACAAGGTCTGCCTTCAGGAGAAACTGGTTAACCAGAATTCAACCTGTTGGGGTTCTATCATAACCCAACTTTCCTGGAAGAAAGGAAATAACCAACTCCAGCCCAATGTAACCATCCTGTCCCACCTAACGAGGCAGAAAAAAAAAAAAAAAAAAAAAACCCTGAGAAACACTTGTGATGTTCACAGTCCAAAGGCATAGGGGTACTAAGAGACTGAGACCTAATCAGAGTACTGTAGAACATATTCCCTCCCCATATACCTTACCACCACATTACTAAAGGCCTGTTTAAAGTGCTCCCTTTTGCCCAGTACATTGTGTCTGGCTATAAAGAAAAAAAATTACAAAGCATACAAAAAGACAAAAAACAGTTTGAAGGGCCAAAGCAAGCCTCACAGATAGACATGGCAGGGATATTGGATTATCAGACACGGAATTTAAAACAATTATGATAATATGCTAAGGGCTCTAAATGGATAAAGGTGACAGCATGCATGAACAGATAGGTAAAGTAAGCAGAGAGATGGAAATCTTAAGAGCTAAAGAGAAATGCTAGAGCTAAAAAACACTGTAACAGAAATAAAAGTAACTTTGATGTGGTTAACAGTATACTGAATATGGTCCAGGAAAAATTCTCTGAGCTGGATGGTATCTCAATAGAAACCTCCAAAATTGAAAAGCATAAAGAATAAAAACTGAAAAAAAAAACTATAACAGAATATACAACAACTGTGGGGAAACTACGAAAGTGTAATAGGAATACAAGAAAGAGAAGAGACAGATGAACCAAATAAATATTTCAAACAAGAATGACTGAGAACTTTCTCAAATTAATGTCTGACATGAAACCATGTATCCAGAAACCTCAGAGAACATAAAGAAGGATAAGTGTCAAAAAACTGTATGTAGGCACACAATTTTCAAATTATATAAAATTAAAGGTAAAGAAAAAATCCTGAAAGAAGCCAGAGAGGGGGTGGGTGACACCTTACCTACAGAGGAACAGCAACAACAAAAATTACATCTGACTTCTTCTCAGAAACCATGCAAGCAAGAAAAGAGTAGAGTGAATTATTTAGTGTTGAGAGAGAAAAAGCCCACAAACCTAGAATCCTGTACCTTGTGAAACTATCTTTCAATGGTTAAGGAGACATGGAGACTTTGTCTGGCCAAAGAAAAAAATTAAGGGGACTTGTCAGTAGACCTGCTTTGCAAAACATCCTAAGTCATTTGGAGACAAGGAAAATGATATAGGTCAAAATCTCAAATGTATGCAAAGAATGGAAGAGCATCAAAGAAGAAGTAAGTAAAGATAAAATTAAAATTTTTTCTTAACTTCTTTTCTGTTTCTTCTTTAGCACCCTGCCTTGACAAGAGCCAGGACTTCACACAAGGGCTTCACCTTCTCGGGTCCTAGGGAGGGCTGGTGGCTTGAGCTGAGAGAACCCATGCTAAGCTTGGGCACCTGAGACAGCAGAAGCATGGACCTGATATTCCTTGCAATGGGACGGCACTCTCAGCTGCAGCCCAGCATCACTGCTGCATATCAAGGAACATGACATTGACAGGTATTGCTGGCTGCTCAGTTTCCCTGCATGCCTGGCCCCATTTTCTGGGATCTTGTGTTGGTTTCTGAGCTTTCCCATGCTCTAGTTTACTTATTCTTAATTGATTTAACAAGTAAATATTTGTTCAAAAAAATACCATGAAAAATGTATTTAATTATGTATACTTAATGTATATATTGTGTATGTGTGTGTATACTTACATATAAGTAAAATGAATGACATTAATGATACAAGGGATGGGAGGAAGAAATTAAGAGTTTTTTTTTATTATAAGTTACTCACACTACCCATGAAGTGGTATATTGTTACTTGAAAGTGGGCTTGGATTATATATAAATGCATATTGCAACTCCAGGACAACAATTTAAAAAAAAAGTATTAAAAAGAAGTGTGGCCAGGTGTGGTGGATCACGCCTGTAATCCCAGCACTTTGGGAGGAGGAGGCAGGCAGATCACAGATCAGGAGTTTGAGACCATCCTGGCCAACATGGCAAAACCCCATCTCAACTAAAAAACACAAAAATTAGTCAGACATGGTGATGAATGCCTATAATCCCAGCTACTCGGGAGGCTGAGGCAGGAGAATCACTGGAACTTGGGAGGTGGAGGTTGAGAGAGCCGAGATCATGCCACTACACTCCAGCCTGGGCAAGAGAGTGAGACTCCATCTCAAAAAATAAAAATAAAAAAAAAGAAGTGTAATTTGTATGCTAAGTGAGGAGAGAACACGTAATCATACAAAATGCTCAATTGAAACTACAAAAGGCAGAAAAAAGACTGGAAGACAAAAATAGGAACAAAGAAAGGCAACAAATACAAAGCAGTACTAAATATTAATCCAATTATATCACTATTAATTCTTCAACTATATCAATTGGTATAGTTGGTATGCTGGTAGATATTATTACAACTATATCAATAATCAGTTTTGAACATCAATTGTCTAAATGCACTAATTAAAAGATAGAGATTGTCAGAATGAATCAAGAAATAAGACTCAACTCTGTGTTGTCTATGAGAAACTCAGTTTAAATATAAAGACACGTGTAGATTAAAAGTAAACGGATGGAGAAAGAAGTACCTTGTTAACACTAATCAAAAGAAAGCAAGAGTAGCTATACTAATTTCAGACAGAGTAGGTTTCAAAGCAATAAAATATATTGGGAATAAAGAGGAAAATCTCATATTGATAAAGGAGAAAATTATTGGCCATAACTGCTGTGGTTTGAATTTGTCCCTCCAAAAGTATGTGTTGAAAACTTAATCCCCAGTGCAATAGTGTTGAGAGGCAGGACCTTTAAGAAGTGATGCAGCCTGCCGGGTGTGGTGGTTCACGCCTGTAATCCCAGCACTTTGGGAGGCAGAGGCAGGCAGATCACGAGCTCAGGAGATAGAGACCATCCTGGCTAACACGGTGAAAACCCGTCTCCACTAAAAATACAAAAAAAAAAAAAAAAAAAATTAGCTGGGCGTGGTGGTGGGTGCCTGTAGTCCCAGCTACTTGGGAGGCTGAGGCAGAAGCATGGCGTGAACCCGGGAGGCGGAGCTTGCAGTGAGCCGAGATGGCGCCACTGCACTCCAGCCTGGGCGACAGAGAGTCCGTCTCAACAACAACAAAAAAAGTGATGAAGCCAGGAGGGCTTTGCTCTCATGAGTGGATTAATGCCATTATTATGTAAATGTGATGGTTAATATTGAATGTCAACTTCATTGGATTAAAGGATGCAAAATGTTGTACATAGGTATGTCTGTGAGGGTTTTGCCAAAGGAGATTAACATTTGAATCTAGACTGAGAGAGGCAGACCCACCTTCAATCTGGGTAGGCACCATTTAATCAGCTACCAGTGTGGCTAGAATAAAGCAGGCAAAAGAAAGTGGAATGAAGAGGTGTGCTTAGTCTTCTGGCCTTCATCTTTGTCCCATGCTGGATGCTTCTTGCCCTCGGAACATCAGACTCCAAGTTCTTCAGCTTTTGGACTCTTGGACTTAGACCAGTGATTTACCAGGGGCTCTTGGGTCTTCTGCTATAGATTGAAGGCTGCACTGTCGGCTTCCCTGCTTTTGAGGTTTTGGGACTCCAACTAGCTTCCTTGCTCCTCAGCTTGCAGATGGCCTATTGTGGGACCTCACCTTGTGATCCTGTGAGTCAATTATCCTAATAAACTCCCCTTCATATATACATATAGCCTATTAGTTCTGTCCCTTTAAAGAACCCTGACTAATACAGGGAGTGAGTTCATTACTGTGAAAATGGGTTCATTATAAAAGAATGGGTTCAGCCCCTTCTTGCTCTCTCACCCTCTCTTTGCCTTTCTGCCATTGGATAATGCAGCAAGAAAGCTTTTGCAGGAAGCCAGCCTCTCCATCTTGGACTTCCCAACCTCTAGAACTATGAGCCAATACATTTCTGTTTATTATAAATTAGTCTGTGGTATTGTTATAGCAGCTCAAAATGAACTATGATAATAAGAATTCTTAACATGTATGTGCCTAACAAGAGAGCAGCAAAGTATGTGAGGCAAAAACTGATAGAATTGCAAGAGAAATAGATAAATCCACCATTATAGTTGGAGACTTTAACACCCCTCTATCAGAAATAGATGACCATGGCAGGCAGAAAATCAGTAAAAACATAGTTGAACTTAGCAATATCATGAATCAACTGGATATAATGAATATCTACAGACTACTTTATCCAACAACAGAATACACATTCTTCTCAAGCTCACAGGAAATATTCAATAAGACACATCATATTCTAGGCAATAAAACACACCTTGACAAATTTGAAATTACTTTATAGTCCGGAATGAAATTAAACAAGAAAAAAAAAACAGAAAAAAATAGCTGGAAGATCCTAAAATACATGGAGATTAAGCAATGAAAACCATTCTAAATAACACATGGATAAAGTGGGAAATTTCAAGAGAAATTTAAAAATATTTTTAAATATTTTGGAGATTAAAATACATGGAGATTAAACAATGAACACACTTCTAAATAACACATGGGTAAAATGAAAAATTTCAAGAGAAATATTCATATTTTTAAGTAAATAAAAATAAAAATATAATTTATTAACATTTGTTGGATGTAGTAAAAACAATGCTTTGAGGGACATTTACAGTATTGAAAGCATCTGTTAGAAAAGAAATATCTAAAGTCATTTATCTAAGCTTCTAAATTAGGAAATGAGAAAAAGAAGAGCCAATTAAACTCAAAGTAAGAAGAAGAAAATAAATAATAAAACATGGAGAAGAAACCAATGCAATTGAAAATAAGAAATCAATAGGGAAAAGTCAAGGAAACCAAAGGCTGTTTCTTTGAAAAGATAAATTGAATCAATAAGCCTCTAGCTAGGCTAACTAAAAAGAAGAGAGGATGTAAATTACTAATATTAGAAATTAAAGGTGGGCCATTACTATAGATCTCATGGACATTTAAAAGATAACGAATATTATGAACAAGTCTATGTCCAAAACTTTGATAACCTAGATGAAATTAACCAATTCCTTGAAAGAAAATAAAATCTATCTAATAAAAGCAAAAATAGAGAATTTGAATAGGTCTATATGTATTTAATAAATTAAAGCAATTATTAATAATCTTTCCAAAACAGAAAGCATCAGGTCCGTAAGTGTTCGCTGGTAATTCCACCAAACTTTTAAAGAATAAATTATACCAATTCTCTACAATTACTTTCAAAAGATAGAAGCTGAGGAAAAACTTTCTACCTCATTCTATGAGGCTAGCCTCATCTTAGCAACAAACCTAGACAGAGACAGTAGAAGAAAACTATGACCAATACCTCCTATAAATATAGATACAAATATCCTCAACAAAATATTAGCAAATTGAATCCAAATATATACAAAAAGAATTATACAACATGACCTACTTAGATTTATCTCAGGTATACAAGACTGGTTCAATATTTAAAAATCAATTAATGTAATCCATCACATCAACAAACTAAATTTAAAAAATCACATAAGTATATTAATAAATGCAGAGAAATTATCTGAAAAAAAATCTATCACCCATTTATGATAAAAACAATCAGTAACCTAGGAATAAGGGGAAACTTCCTCAACATGAAAAAGAATATCTACAAAAAATCTACAGCCAACATCATACTTAATGGTAAGAAACTAGAAGCTTTCCCTCTAAGATCAAGAACAGGCAAGGATGTCTCCTCTTACCACTTATTTTCGCCATTGTACTGAGAGTCCTATCTAATGCAGCAAGAAAGAAAAAGAAAAAAGGAAGAAATCATGTTTTTTCTGATGACATGATAGTCTATGTAGAATTTTTTTAAAATCAACAACAACAAAAATCCTCCTGGAATTAATAATTATAGCATAGTTGCAGAATATGAGGTTAATAAGAAAAAGTCAAATGCTTTTCTATATACCAGCAATGAACAAGTAGAATTTGAAATTAAGAACATACTTCCATTTACATTAGCATCTCCAAAAATGAAATGCTTATGAAAAATCCATCAGAATTACAAAATTAATATGAGGTAAACTACAAAATTCTGATGAAAGAAATCAAGGACAAACTAAATAGATGGATAGATAATGTATGTTCAAGGAAAGGATGACTCAATATTGTTAAGATGTCAGCTTTTTCCAACTTAATCTATAGATTCAATACCATCCCAAACAAAACCCCAGCAAATTATGTTGTAGAAATTGACAAACTGATTCTAGAGTTTATATGGGGATGCAAAAGACCCAGAACATTTAACAAAATGTTGAAGGAGAAGAACAAAGTTGAAGCTTTGATATTATCTGACTTTCAGATTTACTGTGAAGCTACAGTAAATAAGACTGTAAATAAGTTTAGTGTTTAGTGTTGGTGAAGGAATAGGCAAATAGATAAATGGAACATAACAGAGAGTCTAGAAATAGACCCACAATCATCTTTGACAAAGAAGCAAAGGCTATACGATGGAGCAAAGAAAGTCTTAACAAATGATGCTTTACTACTGGACATCCACACAGAAAATAGTGAACCTCTACATAGACCTTATATCCTTCACAAAAATTAACTCAAAGTGGATCACAGACCTAAAGGTAATATACAAAGCTAGAAAGCTCCTAGAAATTAACACATGAGAAAATCTGCATGACCTTAGGTTTGGCAATAATTTTTAGATATGACACCCAAGGCACTATTCATGAAAGAAACAGTTGGTGAACTAGACTGCATTAAAACTAAAAATTTCTGCTTTGCCAAAAGACTATAAAGAAGATGAAAAAAAAAACACAGACTGGGAACTAATACTTGCAAAACACATACCAGATAAACTACTGTTTTTCAAAACATAAAAGAAACTTTTAACACTCATCAATAAGAAAACAAATTACTTAACTAAAATGGACCAAAACCCTTAACAGACATCTCAAAAAATATTTACAGATGGCAAATAAGCATATAAAAAGATGTTCTACATCATATGTCATCAGGGAACTACAAATTAAAACAACAATGAGATATCATTACATACCTAAAATGGCCAAAATCCAGAACACTTTAAAAACCAAATATTGGCCAGGATGCAAAACAACAGGAACTCTCATTTATTACCAGTGAAAATACAAAATGGTCCGGCCACTTTGAAAGACAGTTTGGCAGTTTCTCCTAAAATTAAACATACTCTTATGGTATGATCCAGCAATCTCACTTCTTGGTATTTACCCAAAAGAGTTGAAAACATATGTTCACACATAAACCTGAACAAGAATGTTTATAAGCAGCTTTATTCATAATTGTCAAAACTTGGAAGCAATGAAGATTTCTTGCAGTAGGTGAATGGATAAATGAACTGTGCTACAAACAGACCAGAAAATAGAATATTATTCAGCACTGAAAAAAATGCCATGAAAAGACATAAGGTTAAACACATATTACTAAGTGAAAGATGCCAATATGAAAAGGCTACATACTGTATGAGTCCAACCATGTGACACTATGGACAAGGCTAAACTATGGAGAAAAACAGAGTTCAATTGTTGCCAGAGGTTGTGGGGAGTGAGGGATGAATAGATACAGCATGGCAGATTTTTGGGGTAGTGAAAACACTCTGTATGCTACTATAGTGTTGGCTATATTTCATTATATATTTGTCAAAACCCATAGGATGTTCAATACAAAATAAATCTTAATGTGAACTATGGACTTTGGGTGATAATCATGTTTCAGTATAGGCTCATCAATTGTAACCAATTTACCACACTTCATTGATATAATTTGCTCTGGGTCCCCACCCAAATCTTATCTCAAATTATAATCCTCACATGTTGAGGCAGGGACTTGGTGGGAGGTGATTGGATCATGGGGGTAGTTTCCCCCATGCTGTCCTCATGATAGTGAGGGAATTCTCACAAGATCTGATTGTTTAAAAGTGTCTGGTGGTTTCCTTCTTTGCTCGCTCTCTCTGTCTCCTGCTGCCTTGTGAGGAAGGTGCTTGATTCCCCCTCACCTTCTATCATGACCGTAAGTATGCTGAGGCCTCCCCGGCCATGTGGAACTGTGAGTCAACTAAACCTCTTTCCTTTATAAATTACCCAGTCTCAAGTAGTTCTTCATAGCAGTGTGAAAATGGACTAATACAAGGATGTTGATAATGGAGGAGGCTATGCATGTGTGGGGGCAGGAAATATACAGGATATCTCTGTACCTTCCTTTCAAATTTGCTTTGAACTAAAACTGTTCTAAAAGTATCAAATCTTTAAAAATATTGCAAAGAGAAACAGGTGACTACCTGCCTTTGATATAACCTGTTTTCCTGATCCCAATCACAAAATATCTCTTATGGCTATATGAGATATAAGCAAACCATCTTTAATAAGAGATATAATAATTTCAATTAATCATTAAGTACTTACAGGCCATTGTTCAATATACTTATTAACATACATAAGTAAATTTAATCATCATACCAATCATATAAGGTAGAAAATATTTATTATCTCCATTTTACAAAGGAGCAAACCAAGGCAGAGAGGTTAAATAACTTAGCCAGTGTCCTATATTATTAAATAACAGAGCTAGGATCAAACTTATGCAGTGTGAACCTGGAGTCTGTGCTCCTAAGCCACTGTGCTTTGCTGTCTCACCGTATGGTGTTTTGCTAACATTCCTAGTTATAAAAGAAAAAAATTGCAAACAATTTAAATTCCTTTGAACTCCTACGTATGGTGTTTTTATGTGAGTGGGTAAAGGTAAACGCAAATTGTTCAAAGTTATATGTTTCTGATGGTTAATTTTAGGTGTTGACTTGACTGGATTAAGAATTACCAAGAGAACCGGTAAGGGATTATTTCTGGGTTTTTCTGTGAAGGTGCTTCCAGAGGAGATTGGCAGGTGAGTTGGTGGACTAAGTGGGGAAGATCTGCCCTCAGTGTGTCTGGGCACCATTCAATCATCTGAGGACGAGGATAAGCACAAAAAGGTGATGCCCTCTTTCTCTTGGAGCTGGGATATACTCTTCTCCTGTCCTGGGACATCAGAAATCTAGGATCTTCTACACAGACACTCCAGGATTTACACCAGTGGCCCCCTGAGTTCTCAGGCCTTCAGACTCAGACTGAGAGTTATGTCATAGGTTTCCCTAGTTCCTGGGGCTTTGGACTTAAACTGAGTCATGCTGCCAGCATCTCAGGGTTTCCAGCCTGCAGACAACCTATCACGGGACTTTGCCTCCATAACCATGTGAGCTAGTATCCCTAATAAATCTCTTTAAAATATCTGTATTCACATATATCTTTTTGATTCTATCTCTCTGAAGAACACTGACCAATACAATGTTATTTTTTTTTTTGCGATGAGGGCATTTAAGAGATGAAGTGATACAATTTACAGGAAAAAGGGCATTTGTGAGAAAAATGCATTGTGGATATCTTTGCAATAATACTAACATGATTTCCTTGGTGTTATGGTTAGTTTGATGTGTCAACTCAACTGGGCTAAGAGATGCCTAAAGTGAGGTTAAAATATTATTTTTGGGTGTGCCTGTGACAATGTTTCTGGAAGAGATTATTATTTGAATCAGCAAACTGAGTAAAGAAGATGGCCCTCACCAATGTGGATAGACATTATTTAATCCATTGAGGGTTTGGATAGAACAAAGAGACGAAGAGAGGGTGAATTTGCTTCTGTTTGAGTTGGGACATCCCTCCTCTTCCGCCCTCAGAAATTGCCTTCCCTGATTCTTAGGTCTTCAGATTCACACTGAATTACAGCAATAGCTTTTCTCATTTTTCAATTTGTAGAGAGCGGATTGTGGGACTTATCAGTATCCATTATTGCATGAACAAATTCCTACAATAAATCACCATGCATGTGTGTGAGTGTGTGTGTATATATATCCCATTCTGTTGGTTATGTTTCTCTGGAGAATACTGACTAATATACTGGATAACAAAATTTAAATGTCTCAGAGATTATTAATTTAACATCCTGATGTTAGGGAAACTTCACTTAAAAACACACCAGGAATTTGAGAATATATTTTAGTGTAAGTTAACTCTTAGTGTTCACATTTCATTTTTCTATTTAAGAACTGTTAATATTTAAACTACACACAATCCATTTAAATTTGTTGTACTCATTTTTAATGCAAGAATACAATTTTGTTTTTAATAATTTCAACTTTAATTTTAGATTCAGGGGAACATGTTCAAGTGTGTTGTATGGGTATATTTGTGATGCTGAGGTTTGGGATACAACTGATCCCATCACCTGGGTTGTGGGCATAATACTGAATAGGCAGCTTTTCAACACTTCTCCACATCCCTACCTCTTCACTCTGATTGTCCCCAGTGTCTACTGTTGCCATCTTTTTGTCAATGAGTACCAATGTTTAGCTCTCACTTATAATTGTGAACATAGGGTATTTGGTTTTCTGTTCTGTGTTAATCTAGTTAGAATAGAGGCCTTCAGCTGCATCCATGTTGTAGCAAAGTACATGACTTCATTTATTTAATGGCTGCACAGTATTACATGGTGTACATGTACCATACTTTATCCAATGCACCATTGATGGGTACCTAGGTTGATTCCATGCCATTGCTATTTTGAACAATGCTATGCTGAACATATGAGTGCATGTATCTTTTGGTAAAATGATATGTTTTCTTTTGGATATATATCCAGTAATGGGATTGTTGTGCTGGATAACAATTCTAAGTTCTTTGAGAAATCTCCAAACTGCTTTCCATGGTGGATGGGCTAATTTATATTCCTACCAACAGCATGTAAGCATTCCCTTTTCTCTGCAGCCTCACCAGTATGTGTTGTTTTATGACTTTTTAATATTAGCCATTCTGACTTGTGTGAGATGATATCTCATTGCAGTTTTGATTTGCATTTCTCTGATGATTAGTGATGTCGAGAATTTTTGCACACATTTGTTAGCTGCTTGTGTATCTTATTTTGATCAGCATCTGTTCATGTCTTTTGTCCACTTTTTAATGGGGTTGTTTTTAGGATGCATAGTTTGCAAATATTGTCTCCCATTTTGTAGGTTGTGTTTACTTTGTTAACAGTTTCTTTTGCTGTACACATTTTCTTTAGTTTAATTGGATCCCACCTGTCAATTTTTGTTTTTGTTGCAATTGTGTTTGAGGACTTAGTTATAATTTTTTTCCCAAGGCTGGAGTCCAGAATGTTGTTTCTTAGGTCTTCTTCTAGGATTCTTATAGTTTGAGGTCTTACATTTAAACCTTTAATCTATCTTTAGTTAACTTTTGTATATGGTGAAAGGCAGAGGTCTAGTTTCTCATACGGTTAGTCTATCCCAGCACCGTGTGTTGAATAGGGAGTTGTTTCTCCATTCCTAATTTTTTGGTGACTTGTCAAAGACCATATTATTGGAGGTGTGTGGCTTTATTTCTGGGTTATCTGTTCTCTTCTATTGGTCTATGTGCCTGTTTTTGTGCCAGTGCTATGCTGTTTTGGTTACTTTAGCTTTATAGTATAGTTTGATGTTGAGCTATGGCAAAGAAGAGCATTACATAATGATAAAGAGTTCAATTCAATGAGAAGACGTAACTGTCATAAACATATATGAACCCAACCTTGGAGTACCCAGATTCATAAAACAAGTACTTCTAGACCTATGAAAAGAACTAGACAGCCACACAATAATAATAAGGCACTTAAACACCCCACTGACAGCATTAGACAGATCATCAGGGAATAAAACTAAGAAATTCTAGACTTAAATTTGACATTTGACTAATTGGACCTAGTAGACACATACAGAATACATCACCTATCAACTATACAATACATTATCATCTGCACATAAAACCTACTCCAAGACTGACCACATGTTCAGCCATAAAGCAAGTCTCAATAAATAAAAAAAAAAACCTACTCCAAGACTGACCACATGTTCAGCCATAAAGCAAGTCTCAATAAATACAAAAAAATCTAAATCATACGAAGCATACTCTCTCAGATCACAGTGGAATATAAATAGAAATCAATACAAAGAAAATCCCTCAAAACTACATGATTACATGGAAATTAAATGACTTGTTTCTGAATGACTTTTGAATGAACAGGAAAATTAAGGCAGAAATTAATACATTTTTAAAAAATAAATGAAAACAGAGATACAACATCCAGCAAGAGCAGTGTGAAGAGGAAACTTTATAGTGCTAAAACTTACCTCAAAAAATTAGAAATATCTCAAATTAATGATCTAACATCACACTTAGAGAAAGGAGAAAAACAAGAGCAAACTAAGCCTAAAGCCAGCAGAAGAAAAGAAAGAACTAAAATCTGAGAACTGAACAAAATTGAAGCCAAAAACCATTACAAAGAATCAATGAAATTAAGTTGGCTATATTAAAGTATAAATAAGATCAATAGACCAATAACTAGATTAACAAATGAAAATCTGAGAGAAGATTTAAATAAGCATATTAAAAAATGACAAAGGTGACATTACAACCAATCCCTCAGAAACACAAAAGATCCTCACAGACTGTTGTAAACACTCCATGCACACAAAACAGAATGTCTAAAGGAAATGGATAAATTCCTGAAAACATACAATCTCCCAAGATTGAATTAGGAAGGAACTGAAACCCTTAACAAACCAATATCAAATTCTGAAACTGAATCATTAATAAAAAGCCTACTAACCAATAAAAGCCCTGAATCAGATGGATTAACAGCTGAATTCTACCAGACATCCAAAAAAAGACCTGGTAGCAATTCTCCTCAAACGATTCCAAAAAACCAAGGAGGAGGGGTTCCACCCTAACTCACTGTACAAAGCTAGCATCATCCTAATACCCAAACCTGGAAAAGACACAATGAAAAAGAAAACTTCAAGTCAGTATCCCTGATGAACAAAGATGCAAAAATCCTTAAGAAAATACTAGCAAATTAGTATTTTGTGACTCCAGCAGCACATCAAAAAGTTAATGCACCACAATCAAGCAGGCTTTATTCCTGAAATGCAAGGCTGGTTCAACATACACAAGTCGATAAATGTGATTCACCACATAAACAGAATTAAAAGCAAAAAGTGTGTGATCATCTCAACAGATGCAGAAAAAGTTTATAATAAAATTCAACATCCCTTCATGATAGAAACCCTCAACATACTAGGCATCAAAGGAACATACCTCAAAATAGTAAGATCCATCTATGACAACCCACAGCCAACATCATACTGCATGGGAAAAAGTTGAAAGCATTCCTCTTGAGAACTGAAACAAGCAGAGGATGCCCACTTTCACCATTCCTATATAATATAGTACTGGAAGTACTAGCCAGAGCAATCAAGCAAGAGAATGAAATAAAAGGCATTGAAAATCAGAAAAGAAATCAAATGATCTCTCTTCACTGATGATCTGATTCTATAAAAGCCTTGAGGACTCTGCCTAAAGTCTCCTAGAACAGATAACTAATTCGATAAAGTTTCAGGGTATAAAATCAATTTAAAAAATCAGTAGCATTTCTATATAGCAAAAGTGTTCAAGCTCAGAGCCAAATCAAGGAAATGGCCTCATTTACAATATCCACACCCACACAAGATACCTAGGAATACATGTAACCAAGGAAGTGAAAGATCTCTACCAGGAGAAGGACAAAACACTGCTGACAGAAATCACAGATGACACAAGCAAATAGAAAAACATTCCTTGCTCATGAATTAGAAGAATTAATATTGTTTAAGTGGCCAAATACTCATATTGCCCAAAGCAATCTGCAAATTCAATGCTATTCTTATCAATCTAGCAATATCATTTTTCACAGAATTAGAAAACAATTCTAAAATTAATAGGGAACCATAAAGGACCCCGGATAACCAAGGTAATCCTGAGCAATATGAGGATTTTAAACACAATATACATAAAAACAAACAGATTATATATCTAACTTGTACATAAGGGGAAACTTTTCAATTTAGTAATCATTTTTTGTATAGCACTATGCAATTTGCAATGAGATTAATCCATTAAATGAAGTTTCTTAATAATGGGTTTCACAGATTAAAGTTTATTATTTTCTTTAATGTGACTAATTTGAATTGTTCATTTAGCAAGAATATGACTATTATTTTTCAAATCCTAATATTCTTATAATCAAATTACATTATTGTTTTTTGAATTACATTGATTATGCCCTTCATAATCATACACACAGTACTACTTGCATATATTAGAAACATTTCTGAATATATGTGTGCATAGGTGAGTGTATCTTAACAACTATTATAAAATGGTTAGAATTATAATTTTTAAACCCAAGCCCAGAATTTATATGGCTTCATTACTTTTTAATGCTTTTATTCAATCTTCATTAAGCTAGGTCTTTCAGATAGTCATAGGGGACAGTAAATAAAACAATATATAGTGATTTCTACATGGTCTTTCCTACTAGACCCTGCACTTTTCCATAGAGATTTTCTGCTTCTCCAAACTGATCTGCTTAAAAACTCTTCCCTGACCTTTAAATGCTCTTATGGAAGCTGAAGTGAGGATAAAGAGAGATAATTGCATTTTGAACAAAAGTTAGTATAAAAATATATCCTGGAATTCTTTCTAGACATTAAATCAAAACAAAATATTGACAATTTAGGAAACCTGAGGCAAAACAGAACTAATAGAAGACAGAGTGGCTGAGTAATATTAGTAAGGAGAGAGAGACCTGGAAAACACCTGGGACTCACATTCCTATGCAGACCCCCCAGAGTGTGCCTCTAGAGTAAATAACTCCATTCTATTAAAATACCTTCTCAAACAACAATTAGAAATAGGGTATAAACTCTCTGCAAAGGAAAGGAATATGTTCATGTACTGCTTGTTTTGTTTTAAAGTATTGACTGTTTGTCAAGGCGTGTTCATCCAACAATAGCCCATAGTGTCCATCTTGATAATTACATCTTGATAATTTCGTAAGTACAAAGATGATTACAGATGATATTTCATGAAGTACAGACTCAAAGCACTATGTCTGGAGAAAAGCAACCTATTTCTCCACTATTATGGCCATTGAGAAAACATTTTTTAATTTTATGGTTTATAAGTGAATGAGATCTTTAGAATAGTCACCTGGTTATTACAAAACCTAGCCATAAAAAATGTGCTTTCTTTTCCAACTTAGCATTTATTTTAAAAGTAACTACAACTAGAATACATGACAATATCACTGGACAATGTAATATTTTAGATTATGGGCTCTTAATGTTACATTAAGCTAAAAAAACTTATAGAACTTTGTTTTCCAGGTATTCTACATATACCTTAACAGAACTTCATTTTCTTTCCATAGACTTTTAAAAATGGAATTTTAGAACTATGTCTAGAAAATTGAATTTTGGATTTAGAAAATCTTTAGTTTTACTATAAAGTTGAACTTGAATAGAATGATGCTATATTATATAATAAAGTAGGTTTGTACTCTACTGCTTTATGAACTACATTTTCATCCAATTAATAGTAAAAATGTTCTCATTTTATTAAAACATAATGATACATGATTTATCATGTATTGCAGAATAGGATATTTAATGACTGCATACAATCTCATCAAATGAATACTCCAATGTAGTAAACTATTCCCCACTGAAGAGTATTGGCATTTAAATTGCTGACTTATTTTTTCCATTCTTGCATTTTTTGTTAACAGTACAGTGCCACTACCACCACTTCCCCATACACATTTATATTTTCCTCTTTATTAAAAGGCTGGGAGCCAGAGAACTATGTTTTCCAGAGTTCCTGACAACAGTTTTTCACATTAAATTCTGCCAACGAGAGGCATTTCAGCAGAATTTTGAAGGTGGAGTGAAGGAAGTCACTATTGCTCTAGGGACTGCAGTGGGCAGGTGTATTAACTCACTTCCTTGGTGCAAATATGAGATCAGTAACAGTTTTCTGTAACTTCCCCAGTTTCTGATTTACTGAAATGAGCAGTAATTTCCGTCACCTTTGCTCCACCAGTAGTTCTGATGATTTTGTAAGCTTCTGATTCTCTGTATTGTATCTCATTCTATTTAAAATATCTAGAGGGGTTTGTGGTCTTCTGAGAAAATCCGAAGCAAAATAAATAGTCATAAATAAAACCATCTAAGTTAAGTCCTGTTTTGTTTTTATGATTGTTTTAATGAGGTAGATTACAAAAATGAGTGAGTCAAAAAATAGGAATCTTTTTAAGGTTTCTGATATATATTGCCAAAGAGGCTTTCAGAAAATGTGTGATACTTTATTAACACTATAATATATAAAAGTAACCTTCCCTACATTAATGCCACTGTGTAATGTAGGTGTTTAAAAGCCTCTGCTAATTTATTTTATTTTATTTTATTTATTCATTGGAGATAGAGAACCCAGGCTGGAGTGCAGTGTCACGATCTCGACTCACTGCAACCTCCGCTGCCCAGGTTCAAGTGATTCTCGTGCCTCAGCCACCTGAGTAGCTGGGATTACAGGCATACACCACCATGCCTGGCTAAATTTTGTATTTTTAGTAGATTGGGTTTCACAATGTTGCCCAGGCTGGTCTTGAACTCCTGACCTCAAGTGATCCGCCTGCCTCAGCCTCCCAAAGTGCTGGGATTACAGGTGTGAGCCACTGTGCCTGGTCCTACTTTTTTTTTTTTTTTATACAGGTTTAAAAAGTAAATCTAAGCATACTTCTTTAAAGTTGCTTTATGTGTTGTTTCTTTCAGTGAATGGAAGTGTTTAACAAAGAAGCTTGTAAGCATGAGTTGAGAAGAAGTTTTTACGTTTCTTTTTTTTCTACATTAGTCTTTATTATGAAGAGTTTACATATACAGATTTAAAGGATAATTATAAGCATGCTTCCTTGAACATTTTCAAATATTTAATTACTGATACATAATAGTTGTACATATTTATGGGGTAAATGTGAAATTTTGATGTAAGTATATAATGTGTAATGATTAAATCAGGGTAATAGGGATATCCATCATGTCAAGCATTTATTATTTCTTTGTTTTAGGAACTTTCCAGTTCCACTCTTTTAGGTACTTTGAAATATGCAATAAATTAATTGTGGACTATAGTCAACCTATTGTGCTACCAAACACTAGTTTTTATTCCTTCTAACTGTATGTTTGACTCATTAAGCAACTCTTCTTAATCACCTTCTCCTCTTTCCCTTCCCAGCTGCTGGTAAGTATCATCTTACTATCACCCTGAGTTCCTTTTTTTTTTTAAAATTTTATTTTTTTTAGCTCCCACATAAGAGTGAGAACATGCTACTTTATCTTTTTCTGTCTGCCTTATTTTACTTAACATAATGTTCACCACTTCCCATCCACTTTGTTAAAAATGACAGGATTTTATTCTTTTTCATAGTTGAATAATATTATATTAGAAATTGAAGAGGACACAAAAATGTAAAGATATTCCATGTTTTTAGATTGAAAGAATCAAATTGTTAAAATATCCATACTCAAAGCAATCTACAGATCTAATGCAATCCGTTTCAAAGTACCAATAACATTCTTCACAGAAATAGAAAAAATAATCTTAAAGTGTATATGGAACCACAAAATACCCAGAATAGCCAAAGCAACCCTGAGCAAAAAGAACAAAGTTGATGGGCACTCAAAGACATAGAGTGGTATAATGCACACTGGAGACTTAGAAGGAGGGAGGGTGGCGGGGGGAATGAGAGATAGAAAACTACATATTGAATACGATGTACACTACTCTGGTGATGGGAGAACTAAAATATCAGACTATCACTATCCAATTCATTCATGTAACCCAAAAACTTTTGTACCACAAAAGGTCCTGAAATATATATAGCAAAGCTGGAGGCATCACATTACCTGAATTCATATTGAACTTCATAGTGTACTACAAAGCTATAGTAACTAAAACAGCATGGTACTGGCACAAAAACAGACACAGAGACCAATGGAACAGAATAGAGCACCCAGATATAAATCCACCCATTTATTACTTTAATATGTTAAACAAGGCAACTTATTGGTACATTTGTTTCATGCTGAAGAGATTAATGATATTTTCTTACCTTAGCAATTTCTATTACTTGTAATAGATTTTCTGAATTGCTTAGTATTAACATTTTCCATTTTTTAAAATGAGTTATTTTAAGAGAGTTTTAGATTTACATATACTCTGCACCCAGTTTCCCCTAATATTTATTCATTACATTAGCGTGGTACATTTGTTAAAATTAATGAAGCAATATTGATACATTACATTACCTATAAAATCATAAATATAAATCATCAACACTAGGTACCTAGAAACCCAAATTGAGAAACACTGATTTGTGGTTTTTAAATATTTTTTTAAAAATTGATTTTGTGTTTAATTGCTCCTTTCATGGAGTTTACTATGGATTTCACTGTTTCATATAGCATGGTGTTCCTCATCTTGAGACCCAACAAATGCTTATTAAGATAAGTTTATTTTCCAGTTTATTTATAGACACACATTTAATCTATTTGCTAAGTACTTTGGAAAATTGAGCAAATAATCTAAATTTACCTTCCCCTTCATTGTGAAACACATCTTCCAGGATTATGTATTAAATAATTAATTTCATCTTCAATTTAAATGCAACATTTTTATACATACTTTTGGACTCTATTTTATTGATTGATGCTATTCTATTTTTGTTTCAATTCCTTACTATTACATTTATTCTATATGCATATATTTTTTCATATATATTGGCATAAGCTGCTCTCTTATTTTCTTTCAGAATAATCTATATCATCCTATTATTCTTCTAGATTAACTATAGAATCAATTTGTCTTCAAAAAGTCTTTTTGAAATTTTTATTATAATATAATTAAACATAATAATTACTTTGTGGAAAGTTAAGAGCTTTACATTACACACTCTTATGACACAACCTTTCTTTTTAATTTTCTAAGCTATCTTACGTCCTTCAGAAAAACTAAGTTATTCTAAACAACATATCTTCACATCCCCTCCCTACTACGTTAATTATCAGATCTAATTTCTTACATTTTGCTATTATAATCTATTGTTGCTTTTTATTCTAGCTGGTACAATTAGTAGTAGAGCTTATCAGGGAAACTCTTGATACAGCATTGCAACTATCAGTGTCAGGTATACATAGTTCAGCTTCCATATCATTTGCAAATTTGAATTCTGTTTTATATTTTTTTCTGTTTTTGTTTCAATAGTACTATCTTGATACCCATGGTAATATTAATGCAAAAGCAAACATTGGAAGGTATTTACTTTAATAATATAGTTTTAAATTATATCAAGAATCTATGTGTATTAAAGTGTTATTCTAAGAAGTATTTCTGGACTATTCTCATGGTTTCTGTCATTAGACAATTAAAATTAAAATTAAGAGCCTGGGCGTGGTGGCTCATGCCTGTAATCCCAGCACTTTGGAAGGCCGAGGCGGGCGGATCACCTGAGGTCAGGAGTTCGAGACCAGCCTGGCCAACATGATGAAACACTATCTCTACTAAAAATACGAAAATTAGCTGGGCATGGTGGTGGGTACCTGTAATCCCAGCTACTGGGGAGAATTGCTTGAACCTGGGAGGCCGAGTTTGCAGTGAGCCAAGATCACACCATTGCACTCCAGCCAGGGCAACAGAGTGAGACTCCATCCCAAAATAAATTAAAATATTAAATTAAATGAAATAAGTGTTCCCCCCTCAGTTACAAAAAATTTTAATCAGAAATGAGTATTGAATTTATCAAATAACTTTTTGTGTCAATGTAAATAATTTTGCAAACTAAGTTTACCTATTAATGTATTAAAGTGCTATTTTATATGTCTATACAGCTCAATGTAACTTACTTTTTCTTTATTTCAATCTTAGCATCTATAATCAAAAATGAGTTTGGCTTGAAGCTTTTTTTTTTCCTGTGGTAGACAGATTTTATCATGTGTAAGAATCAGACTTATGGAATATTTGAACATAAGAGTTGTTCATATTTCTCTACAGTCTGGAAATGTGTCCATAACAATATTGATCTATTCCTTGAAAGATTGACTATATATATATATATTTTTTTTTAATTATACTTTAGGTATTTCTCCTAATGCTATCACTACCCCAGCCCCCTACCCCCCTACAGGCCCTGGTGTGTTATGTTCCCTGCCCTGTGTCCATGTGTTCTCATTGTTCAACTCCCACCTATGAGTGAGAACATGCGGTGTTTGGTTTTCTGTCCTTGGGACAGTTTGCTTAGAATGATGGTTTCCAGCTTCATCCATGTCCCTGCAAAGGATGTGAACTCATCCGTTTTTTTATGGCTGTATTCCATGGTGTATATGTGCCACATTTTCCTACTCCAGTCTATCATTCTTGGGGCCTCTCCTAATATCTCTTAGAGGACATTAATTTTTGATCAATGGTTAATGGACAGTTTGATACTGTACCTTTCTTCATCTATAAATGTTTTTTTATTTTATTTTGGCAACCTATATTCCCTTCAGAATAACTTGTTTCACACATTTTCAGATTTGTAAAAGAATCATGCATAATCTCATTGTGCATGATACTTTTTACCATTTATTTTCATTTTCTCATGCTTTAAATTGTGTCTTCATTTTCTCTACTGTTTCAGATTGCATGTTGTAGTTCCATCACTATTTTGGAGCATTTAGATTTCTTTTTTTTTTTTAAATCAGGCTAGCCCGATTTTGGATGTTAGACTATTTTATTATTTTGGCAACTGTCTTTTATGAGAATTAATTTTTATTCTTTTTCATTAATTCCTACTTTTATCTTTACTATTTTTTCTTTCATTCTATCTTGAGAATTTTCTTACCCCCATTTAATAAAGTATTGGTTTATTTTCATCTTTATTCTCGTAATGCAAATATTTATGGTTAGAAATTAGTTTATTGGTACAGATATGCTAACATTTTATGTAAAGGACATTCGTTCTATTGTGTAAGCTCAAGTCCTTGCTTTTTGCTTGTCTTTTTGCATTTCTGGGGTTTTGCTACAGGAAAAATATTGTATTAGTTTTCCTCCTTTTCTAATGTATTACTTTAATGTACAATGCTAGATTATTTCTCCCTCTATCTCTAAAAATAAAAAGCAAACAAGAAAACAAAAATGACACAGTATTTATATCTTACTGAACTGTGAAAGTGAAAGGGACACCCACATTTTGCCCTGCACTGATTTCTATCACCCTGCCCCTATCCAATTCCTATCCACATTAGGAGGGTTAATAAGCTTCTCCGAGTTTATCTTCCAATTAGTTCCCAGTGACAGTGCTGGTGAGGATGTCAAGAGGTGTTACTGTTTGATTCTCCCTCTCCTATGTCTGTGCATTAGGGAAGCTTTTTTCTAACAAGGAGCTATGCAGAAGACTGTGTTACTGACATTGCTTAAGTAGTGTAACTGCAGAAACCAGGATATAATATTTCTAAAGAATATAATAACTATGAGAATAAAAATAAACTGAGCATGAGAGTTAAATAAAAAAGAGCTTTTCTTAGCATCATTCCCATTGTCTCGGTTAATGAGACATTCACGCCTTCAAAATACCAGAAACAGACTGGGTGTTTGGGACAGGGATACTTATTTTAACATTCTTTACTGAAATGTGTATAATAAATATCGAAGATCCCTGAAGGAATTCAAAGAAATTGTTCAGTATTTCCTAAAAGGAATGTAAGCAAATTAATTATTGTGTTCATTATTCAGACAATGTTTTAGATATAGAGTAGGCCTCCATTCTTTTGGAGTAATTTCTGTGAAAAGGCCTCTCTCTGACCCTCAAAACACTGCCCCACATCCTGGCCGATGACTGAAATCATGTTAGAATTAGGCTTTAGCCTCCACTGAATGTAAACATCCCTGTGGATAATCGGTGATTAAGCCAGTGTTTCTCTACCTTTTAAATCCATCTTCACTCTTCTAAAATATGCCAATATTAAAACACTAACATGACCCTCAGTTGAAAATACTTCAATTACATACACATCTCAACCATGCATTTTTTGAGCTTTATGTTTTATAGTTCATCTTACAAAAACAAGCAGACAAAAACAACGAAGACTTTCTCTTCTCCATACAAATGTAAGATTACATTATTTTATTGGGTAGGCTTTATAGAATGCCCTATTTTAACTTTACACCCATGAATTCCTCCCTCCTGCATACACAGAACATATGCATGTTGGGAGAGACTTCTCCATGAGTCTGTTGCTTTTCTGCCCTTGTGAGCAGAGACACTAATCATCTTTTGTTCTGGACATTTTCTAAAAAACTTTTTATAGTGAACCACTTTGGAAGGTAGAAATGGTGGCGTCTGCCTGTGCAGAATGAAGGTGTATTTGCTGTCCACTAGAACAAAGATAATGTCCCTCTGGGGTGTATGTTGGGCAGCTTTGGTTGCAGTCCTTTTTAAAGGATTGTGGTTTCCTAAGCTTGAGACCTCTCTCCTGAAATCCACCCTGCTGTATGCAGACCCTCTGAATTAGGGCTCAGGGAATCCATGAAAATGTTGATATTCTGTCCACTATTGCTACGAGCAATAAGCTGTCCTTCATCCCAGACCCAGAAGCCATGTCTTCTGCCAGCATCCGTGGAGCTGTTGCAGGAGTTAGCAAGCTTGTTGGTTTGTAAGCAGAGTGAAATCTCAGCCCTCTCACAAGTCTTGGCATTACTCTGTCTAAACCGGAGTTTCAAGATGCTTTCATGGAAGTCATTTACTATTTTTTTTTCTTGAGCACTGGTTGTCTCTGGAGCAACAGGGGAGAAGCAGCAGTGGGTAAAGAGAACACCAGGTGCCAGAGGGAAGAAAACAGGGTACAGCAAGTGGTGAGAAAGGAGGAGGGGGAGGGGGAGGGGGAAACTGGCTGAGGATCTGAGAGCCAACTCAACCCACTTCATGGTTGTGCCTGAGTGTGGCTGAAGGTGAAGAACTTGCCCCTCATAAGCATAAAGCAGCCCTATTAGCATGTGTTTATATTAATTCTCACTTGAATCCACTCCTTCAAATTAAAAATAAGACAACCCTCTCTAGCTAATTCCACATTTCTTGAGATAATGAAACAAAATTTTTTTTTTTCAAAAGAAAAGAAAATCGGGAACTAATTTTCTAACTTCTCAAAAATGTACAGGCTTTCCTAGATGTTTCTGTATATCCTCTGCTTTTCTCAAGGAAGCATGCCAGTGTAATTGTAACAGACGAACTTCATTTCTCTAAAGAATCTCAATATTCATCCACAATCTCCAAGGAACCACTTAGCTAGCAATAAAAAACAACAACAAGCCCTACAAAAAGACTTGATCTTGAAAAAAAAAAACCCATTCTATTCAATCAAAACTTAGAAAAGGCCACATTTGAAGAGAAGGCACATAATGTAAAACATCCATTTAAAAACCAGCAGGAGATTGTTATATGTTTGAATAATTACTAAATGAGTTTGAAACGTAGTATACTGTTTTAGCTTTCATAGTATATTATCTGAAAATGAAAGTTTTGCATTTCTTAATATCTATCACTTAAGTTGAATTTATTTTCATAGGGCATCTTGCTGTGAAATTTTAATACTATTAATTATTCAATTAATAGCCCTTAGACTGTGAGGAGAACCTGTATTTGCCCTTAACTCATGCTATGATGCTAAGATCTTGATTAGGGCCGGGCGCGGTGGCTCACGCCTGTAATCCCAGCACTTTGGGAGGCCAAGGCGGGTGCATTACCTGAGCTCAGTGGTTCAAGACCAGCCTGGGCAATGCAGTGAAACTCCATCTCTAATAAAATACAAAAAATTAGCCAGCCATGACGGTGTGCGCCTGTAGTCCCAGCTACACGGGAGGCTGAGACAGGAGAATTGCTTGAACCCAGGAGGCGAAGGTTGCAGTGAGCTGAGACCACGCCATTGCACTCCAGCCTGGGTGACAGAGCATCATTCTGTCTCAAAAAAAAAAAAAAAAAAAAAAAAGTCCTTTGATTAGCTAGTTAGAGGGCAATATTCCAGGCCATTGCTCTTTCTTGTTAAATTCTGGCTCAGCTCTGGTATCCACAATCACCCATTCCTTCTTCCTATAAATCTTTCAAAAGTTTGTTGTTGCAGTTTCTTGTTGTAATAAAGACATTTCAATGAATTTATAGTAGTCTTTCCTTGATAAATACAAATGATTCAGGGTTTTAGGTTCATTATTCATATGACAAACTATCACTGAAAATTACTATAAATGTATAAAATGTACAGGATTAGGAGGCATCTGAGTAAGCTTCCAGAAAGTAAATTTAAAGTTCGTTTGGTAAACAACAAAACAGCAGTGATGGTAAAATCCGCAAATTGCAATTTGTCTTTGTTTCCAAATAACAACAACAGACAATTTCAACAAAGAATATTGGAAACCAGCCTGGCGCGGTGGCTCACACCTGTAATCCCAGCACTCTGGGAGGCTGAGGTGGGTGGATCGCCTGAGGTCAGGAATTCAAGACCAGCCTGACCAAAACGGTGAAACCCTGTCTCTACTAAAAATACAAAAATTAGCCTGGCCTGGTGACAGGTGCCTGTAATCTCAGCTACCCTGGAGACTGAGGCAGGAAAATTGCTGGAACCTGGGTGGCAGAGGTTGTGGTGAGCCGAGATCACACCATTGCACTCTAGCCCGGGCCTACGAGACTTCGTCTCAAAAAAAAAAAAAAAAAAAAAGGATATTGGAAACCAACTATGCTGGCATTTTGGTTAGCCAAGTTTTACTTAAAGCTTTTCTTTAGGCAGTGTTAACACATTTTATATATTCCATTTTATAAATAAACGTTTTAAATAGATATTTTTAAAGTAAAATAGATTTATCAATAAGTTTTTGAAATAATCAAGTTTTTCATTTGTCTTTAGGCATGAACTTTCAAAAAGTATTTTTAAAGAATCATAGGAATTTTTCAAGTATTTAGGCATGCAATACCATATTACCAAGTTTCTGAAGTCGCTTTTGCTTAAGTCTTAGTAAAAACTTTCTGCAAAAGTCTTCAAATATTTTAAACTTTAGAGCTCAAAATTTTTGGACAATTTTAAAGAAAAAACAAAAGTTACTGAAAGAATACTGAATTACCTCAACATCTTAGAAAACAAATATTTTCATAAAGATATCTTAGAAACCAATATAAAGCTATTGAAGAAAATGTTTTAATATCCTTAGACATTGTTTATAAGTTAGAAGAGTCAGGCAAAATATGTGCACTTCAAAAATCAGTTAATCACACCAAATGTTCTAATTCACGCAGAGTATTACTGGATATTCTCCATCTTCTGAGAAAAACCTGTTCATTGGTTTGTTAATAGCAGCGTAGATGTGGGTGAATTGTCTAATTTCTTGCCTATTGCTTCCCCTTTTTTCCGGCAAGAGAGATCTCCTATTATTTATATTATTAACGATAGCTCTAATATTACTCCTTATCTTATTCAGAGATAGTGTTACCAGTGGAGGATGTACAGGTTCTTGGCGTTTTGAACAAAGAGCTGGACGAAACACACAGAGCAAGAAAAGAATCAAGTGACAAAAGCAGATTATTTATCGAAAACGAAAGTACACTCCACGGGGGGCGGGGGGGCAGGCCCGAGCATAGGGACTCAAGGGCCAGTTTACAGAATTTACTGGGGTTTAAATACCCCCTAGAGGTTTTTCCATTGGTTACTTGGTGTATACCCTACGTAAATGAAGTAGTGGCCTGTGCAACTAGTCTGATTGGTTGTGGAAAGCAACCAATCAGAGGCTGAAGTGAAGTTACAAAGTTATACTCCTATGCAATCATCTGATTGGTTGCAGAAAGCAACCAATCAGAGATACTTTCAATTTTCTATCTGCCACACAGAAAAGGAGGGGGGATTGCAAAGGGCGTATCCTCCAGTCCTTTTGTTACTTAGGTGTGGAAAGTTGGGGTTTTCCTTTTGATTTAGTTCTAGAAGTCCGCGTAAATCAGCCTTAGGTTCCCTGCCTCCAGACCCTATTCTCCTGCCTCAACAGCAGTATAGTAGTAATTAGGAAGTCAGCTGTGGTGGCAAATCTTGAGGATCACACTGTGTTTTACCCTCCACCAAGTCTTTTGAGCCTCACCATTGCACTCGCCTGCACACTCTTAGCTGTATATTTTTCGCGTCATTCAGTAGTTGCTCTTTCACGCTTGTGCCATTCTGTAATTTGTGATACTGCAGGAAAGTGACAGAGGAAGTTGTATTTTCTGGTAGCTGTAGGGATGGCTGGTTCCAGATGACCAGTTCTCAAGTGGGCATGAAAGACTGTCAGGAGTGCTTAGGCGAGGTTTTATTCCTTTGTGTTCAGGCAGGGATGCATGTTTGCACTCTTCACTCAAGAAGAGATTTAAAGTGAAGATTACATTGAACTTAATGCAGTGTTCCTTCATCTTAAGGCTTCAAATGCTTTATATCATACTAATTCATCCTTTAGAAAAGACAGTGGCAAAAATGGAAAGTCTTTGGTGTTTGTGTCTTAACAAAAGTATTAAAGGAAAACATGGTCCATTCCTAGCTAATATTTTACTTTTAGCAAATTCAGCACACATTTGCTAGGTGGGTCTGATGTTATCTACAGAAGAATCTGTCCAGCATATAGTTGTCATTCTGATCTAAAATGGTAGCCATCAATGAAAATATGAAATTTCAGTTTTGTGTGTTAGTTGGTGTGGGCTGCCATAACAAAGCACCACAGCAGGTGATTTAAACCATAGACATTTATTTTCTTATGATTTTTGAGGCTAGAAGTCTGCGACCAAGGTGTGAGCAGGGTTGGTTTCTTCTACTGTCTCTCCTTGCCTTTTAGATGGTAACCTTCTCCCTGTCTTCACATGGTCTTTCATCTGTATGGGTCTGTGTCCTAATTTCCCCTTCTTATAAGGACTCTAGTTTTACTGTATTACAGTATATTCATATGACCTCATTTTAACGTAATTACCTCTTTAAAGAATCTATCTCTCACTACAGTCAAATTCTGAGTTACTGGGGCTTAGAGTACCAAGCTCCCTTTAATATAAATGTTGTGGTGGGAGAGACACCATTTAGCCCATAAAATCTAGAATCCAGATAGCTGGCTCCTCTTAAAACCCCATCATCTCATACCAAAAACTCCTTAAATTGATAAGCAACTTCAGCCAAGTCTCAGGATACAAAATCAATGTGCAAAAACCACAAGCATTCCTTAACACCAACAATAGACAAGCAGAAAGCCAAATCATGAACTCCATTCATAATCACTACAAAGAGAATAAAATACCTAGGAATATAGTTAACAAGGGACATGAAGGACCTCTTCAAGGAGAACTAAAAACCACTTTTCAAGAAAATAAGAGAGGACACAAACAAATGGAAAAACATTCCATGCTCATGGATAGGAAATATTGTGAAATTAGCCATACTGCCCAAAGTAATTTATAGATTCAATGATACTCCCATGAAACTACTAGTGACATTCTTCACAGAATTAGAAAAAAAAACTATTTTAAATTTCATATGGAATCAAAGAAGACGCCATAGAGCCAAGACAATCCTAAGCAAAAAGAACAAAGCTGGAGGCATCACGCTACCTAACTTCAAACTATCCTATAAGACCACAGTAACCAAAACAGCATGGTACTGGTACCAAAACAGACATATAGACTAATGGAGCAGAATAGAGACCTTAGAAATCACACCACACATGTACAATCATCTGATCTTTGACAAACCTGCCAAAAACAAGCAATGGGGAAATGATCTCCTATTCAGTAAATGGTAATGGGAAAACCGGCTAGCTGTATGCAGAAAACCGAAACTGGACTGCTTCCTTACACCTTATACAAAAATTAACTCAAGATGGATTAAAGACTTAAATGTAAAACCCCAAACCATAAAAACCCTTGAAGAAAACCTAGGCAATACCATTTAGGACATAAGCATGGGCAAAGACTTCATGACAAAAATGCCAAAAGCAATTACAACAAAAGCCAAAATTGACAAATGGGATCTGATTAAACTAAAGAGCTTCCACATAGCAAAAGAAACTATCATCAAAGTGAACAGGCAACCTACAGAACGGGAGAAAATTTTTGCAATCTACCCATCTGACAAAGTTCTAATATCCAGAATTTACAAATAACTTAAACAAATTTACCAGAAAAAACAAACAACCCCATCAAAAAGTGGGCAAAGGATATGAACAGACACTTCTCAAACACATTTATGCAGCCAACAAACATATGAAAAAAAGCTCAACGTCACTGATCATCAGAGAAATGCAAGTCAAAACCACAATTAGATACCATCTCATTCCAGTGAGAAGGGCGAATATTAAAAAGTCAGGAAACAATAGATGCTGGAGAGGATGTGGAGAAATAGGAACACTTTTACACTGTTGGTGGGAGTGTAAATTAGTTCAACCATTTGGAAGACAGTAGTCCTCAAGGATCTAGAACCAGAAATACCATTTGATCCAGCAATCCCATTACTTTGTATATACCCAAAAGAATAGAGACCATTCTACTATAAAGACACATGCCCACGTATATTTATTGCAGCACTATTTACAACAGAAAAGACATGGAACCAACCCAAATGCCCATCAATGATAGACTGGATAAAGAAAATGTGGTACATATACACCATGGAATACTAGGCGGCCATAAAAAGGAATGAGATCATGTCCTTTGCAGGGACATGGATGAAGCTGGAAGCCATCATTCTCAGCAAACTAACACAGGAACCAAAAACCAAATACTGCATGTTCTCACTCATAAGTGGGAGTTGAACAATGAGAGCACATGGACACACGGAGGGGAACATCACACACCAGGGCCTGTTGGGGGGTGGGGGGTCAGGGGATGGAACTTAGAGGAGGGGTCAATAGGTACAGCAAACCACCGTGGCACATGTATAACTATGTAACAAACCTGCACCTTCTGCACATGTATCTCCCCCCACTTTTTTTTAGAAGAAAAAAAAAACAATCTAAGATAATTATTGGCATTCATTCCTTCTAATGCTTAAATCCACTTTCCACAGTATTGTCATTATGAGATTTCTAACTCTCATTTTGTCTTAAAAGTATCCCTACTCTCCTCCTCTTGCCTTCTAGACATTCTGATTCCTTTGAAGGGCATGGAAGTTTTTGTAATCTTACCTCTGCCTATTTATTTACTCTCTCCTGCTTTGCAACTGGTATTCTTTATGTCTGAGGTTCCTTTCCTACATTCCTTTCATTCAATTTATTTCCTGGCTCTTGTTTCTCTAACAAAACACTAAGGTCACTGACCCTAGCAGGGCTTCCATGAGCTCCCCATCCCAGGTTATGTACCTCATATAGTCTCCATGTTCCCTCAATGCTCTGTGTGCCTCTAAATCATGACTCTTACAAAAATCTACTTAAATAGTTTAGTTATCTGTTGTTTCACCAGAATGTGATTCCTTGTGGGCTGTATCTTTCTTCTCTGTGTTTCCAGGGCTTAGCCTAGTGCACCCCAGAAAGCAGAGGCTTAACACTGCTTTTGAATGAACTAATAAAATACATAAATAGAATAATCTACACAACAACTTCCCAGAAGGTTTCATTAGCAGCCTGTTCGACAGGCTTAGACAGACCTTGGTTGGAAATCCAGCTCATTGCCTACTTTTAGCTACATTAACTTGGACAAGTTCCCTAATAGCACTAAACTTCCATTTATTTATCTGAAAATTGATATTAAATATACTTCACTGTGCTTTATGAGGCTTTAGATAGAAAAATACATGAATAACCTTGAATTTTGTGAGCAAGCAAAATAATTACTAATAGCAACGAGTAATTAACTACTAATATTATTGTGAAGAATAATTAAGTATTATATTATTGTCACACAATGAAGAAGCCAAGATCACAACCCAGGTTGTCCAGCTATCACTACTTTGCAAGGCGTTTTTTTCCAAGATATCTAGTGATATAATTGGTAGACTGCAAAAATACAATTCTGTTCACTAAATAATTTTCTGGACTAGTCTGGGGTAAAACCAGTAAGTTGCGCCCATTACAGTCAAATAGAGCTACAAAGAAGAATCTAATCATCCACTAGTCACAACTGTATTTCCAACTTTAGAAAGCATTGTAGTTATTTGGCAGCACAAAAATCAATCCGAACATGTAATTCCTCAAAATGCCAAACGACACTGAGTATGACCAGTGAGTTGGAAAACAAATGTAATAAGAGAAAGGAAAGGGAACAAGTACTCTGAGGAATTTGACAGTTCAGGGAAGAAGGAAAGTAGAAGGGAAACCCAGGGCTGCAGTACCATTTTTTTTTTCTCTTTAAGATAGAATATATTAGAGCTGTGGTTCCCAAATGTTAGCCTGTTTCTGAGTCACTTGGAGAGGGTGGGGAAAACACAGAATACTGGACTGTACCCCAGAGTTTGTGATGCAGTAGGTTTGCAGTGGGGCCAGATAATTTGCATGTTTAACAAGTTCCCAGGACCACACTGAGAACTAATGGATCAGAATATAGAAGTAGGGAGGTGGAACTTTTAGGAGAAAGAGGGTATAGTCCTTGGGTAAAATTTCAGTGATATGTGACAAAAGACATAAAGAGGAGAAGAAGTGGTATTAAAAAAGAGAAGGATCACTTCTTCATGGGAGGCTGGAGGAACGGACCAGGGAAAGGCAGCTGACTGGGATTTTATCAGAAGGTGAAGAGTAAAATGTTTCCGACCACTGGAGAAAGCTGTAACAGCTTGAATAGAGAAAAGGACATTACTTCCTTCATGCTTTGGCTGGTGTTGAGAGTCTTGCTGAGACCAAATGACTATTTTACTTCAATTTTCTTTTAATTATGCATTTATTTATTTACTAATTGACATATATGAAGCAACCTTAGAAATTGTGGTTCATTTGTAAATTATTATTTTTGTACATTATAATCATGTTTATACCTCAAACAATATACACTCCCCACTCCCAAAGTGTTGGCACTCATTTTTGGCAGCGTAGCTTACAAACAGGACAGGACAGAATCTTCTGGAATAAAATTCAGTTTTGCTTTTTTAAAAACAGAGTTGCCCATGCTCTTGTTATCTTGTTTACACTTTTCTATCTGTGGCAGTGTTATGCAGATGGAGTTAAGAAATTTGTAGGGTTTACATTTTTTTTAATTCGTGAAGGGTTTGGAGACTTGGAGATCTTTTGAGCTGATTAGAAATCTAAAAGCAAAAAAGAAAACAAACTCAAGAAGAAATAGAAAACCTAGACTTAACCGTATTGTTCTTTCCCCTCCAGAAATAGTGTTTTTCACTGTCCTATATATAAATGTCTTCCATAAAGCAGACCAGAAAAAATCTCCAGGATATCAAATCATTAGGCAGTTTCCAGAGACCTAAGACATGACTGTACCCTTTCACTAAAATTGTGGCTCATACCACATGCCACCAGGAAAATAAGCCACAGCCTCCACTCCTGTTCCTTCCAAGCAGTGGTCATAGACTTGTGAGCACAGCCTGTAAAGCCCATGAACTTTGCGTTTTTACACAGGGTTATTTACTTTGACTTCAGGATTTGATCTTACTTTTGTCTTCTCATAAAAATGATATTTAACTTTAACGCAAATGTTAATGAAAACTGGTCTTTATCTTACTCCCTGAATTCCATTTCATTTAGGCTCCTGTGAAAATATACTATATTCGAGGTTAGGGACCCACCACCTTCTAGCTATGTCTTGGGCTAGACACTTAACCTTCTCCAGACTTTGGTTTCTAATCCACAGAATCTGAGGGGTGAAATATACTGGACCCTTCAACTCTCTCTGGGCCTCTCCCACCCTGTCTCTATGATTCTAGACTGTACATGGTGAGTCATTTTACAGCCCCCTTTTCTTCTTTTCTTTCTTTCTCATTTAGAGTATTTCATCTAATATATATATGTCTTTACATCTTCCAAGTTAGAGTCCTGACTTTTTTCTTATTATTTGAATATAGTCCTTTGGAAACCATAATGGGCTTACACCAGGAAAGTGACAATATTCAACCCAAGCATTATATCACAATCATTTTCCTGTCTTCTGAGATCGGTTCAGTTAACATTTTTCATATTTCCTTCACAAAGCACTTTATGTAAGTATAATGTTACAGTGAGTTTAATCTGGCTAACGGTGACATAGTTTAATGCTTCATAAAGTCACCAGTTTGCCAGCCAACTGAATGCTGCAAACTAACTGACAAGGTGATGAGTACCTCATTGTTCATGGTGATTTATGCAAAATGATTATAATTAATTTTTTTTTCTCCAGGAATTGCCATGACTGGAATGCACATCGGTATATCCAGCCCTCAAGCCAACACCATTGCGAAGCTAATGTCACATTCACTGTTCACTGCTATGGAAATTATATGCAGATGATGTGTGACAATGACCCAAAGAACAACTGATAAAAATTTCTTACTCTGACATTCTGTTAGTCAGAATATTGCAATACATCTTATTCCCAGAGAAACTCTCATTCTGTGACATGGTTCCAGTAACACAAGAAGGCTAAAAATAATGTTAATATTTCTCTTTTGCTTTCTGAACACAATAAGAAAACAAGTTTTGATATTATCATGCAAGTTTCTCCAAAACTTACTCCAGACAACTTAAAGGGAAAAAATACATTACATAAGTAGTGATTCCTTTAAATTTAATTACACCACAACATGACTAGGAAGATGAATTCGGCCTCTTGTTTTTCTGAGGTGCAGTGAAATGGTCATGAAGAGAATGTTCTTTTGATGCTAGGATACTGGAAGAGCTTCTTGCAGCTCTATATGTGACAGATGATGTGCCAGACAATGGACTGAATATATTTGGGATACAAATACCCCTTGAAGGTAAAGATATCTTCAAAAAGTGGTGTTAAGGGTGGGCACGGTGGCTCACACCTGTAATCCTAGCTCTTTGGGAGGCCGAGGCGGGTGGATCACGAGGTCAAGAGATGGAGATCATCCTGGCTAACACGGTGAAACCCCATCTCTACTAAAAATACAAAAAATTAGCCGGGCGTGGTGGCGGGCACCTGTAGTCCCAGCTACTCGGGAGGCTGAGGCAGGAGAATGGTGTGAACTTGGGGGGCGGAGCTTACAGTGAGCCGAGATCGCGCCACTGCACTCCAGCCTGGGCGACAGAGTGAGACTCCGTCTCAACAACAACAACAAAAAAAAGTGGTGTTAATGTGAGCCCAAGATTGGAAGTCATAGAGTAAGGAGAAGATTAAAAATTTTGTTTCTTTTTTAATGTATTTCTCAAAATGATTAATCAAACTTTTTGTGGTATATCAATGGATGTTAATAAATGTATGCATACAGATGTGTGCATTTATACTTAGAGATGTGTATAGAGTTATTTATATATAAACAATATATTAATGTTAGTACAAATCACCATTTAGTTGTTTCTGATATGTTTCCTGTTATGTTTCCTGATACTTTCTCAGCAAAGTTCCAAGGACAGAGTATTACCCTATCTGTACATTGTAGGAAATCAGTATTACAAGCATACTACATGTAATTCTACATGTGATTTTCCACACTATTTCCATATATCAGTTAGAAAGTACTGAGGATTTGTAATGTTATTTGCCTTGTAGATGTCATGTGGAAAGAAGTCAAAACGTAATATTAATGTTTTTCTGTAAGATGATTATTTGCATTTATGCCAGCAAAATAAAATACTATGTATAGTTTTATAATATAAAATTTTGTCCTTTAGATTTTCTAATTCTTAAAAAAGTTATTTATTTTGCTTAGGAGAGAAATTTCACATAACATCTGTGGAAAATAACATGTAATAGTAAAAGAATTTAATAAATAAAAGGAAAAAAGAATGTAGGTGCCTGACAAGTTGTCAAGTGTTCTGTTTTCTTTACAACTGCAGGGAATTCTGTGCAAATGAGTTCACCTGAGGATTTACAGAAAGTGGTAATTAATCATTTTGGAGTTATTTGGATTCCTTTAATTGGCAAAACAACACAATGCTTCTGGTAATTTTGTGATGCTAGCCCCTAAAAAAGAAGTGTGTATTAACACAATTTATAAAAGGAATAATCTCTACAATTATTATTCACATTTTTTTCAATTTTTAAATTATTTCCCTAGCTCATATCACTCACATCAAATTAATCTTCTTTGTTCCCATGATGCAAACCCTACTGCATATTTCAGTTTACTTTTGCTCTTATCCAGATTACCTAACTGCATATGACTCCTGTGGACTTCTTCCTTCTCCACTTCAGAATATCTTTGCACCTTGAACTACTTCCTCCTTCTCTTTACTTTCTACTTTGAGGGACAACCAAAGAAAACAAACCAAAAGCTTCCGCTGTCAGACTGAGCCTTTATTTCATCCTGTATTTTGCATTTACAGAAGCCCAATCTGGTGCTTTCTCTCAGGGATAGGAGAGGATAATTCACCCTATAATTCTTGTTTGCTACTTGGGGATAGTCAATTTCATAGCTCTCCCTCTTCTATCAATATTACATCCTTACTATTACCTGCCACAAAATATCATGCGTGTATGTGAAGTACCTTGTAAATAGTATCAAAATATCCTCCTTGACAGGCTTCGAACTTCTCAACTGGCTGCTGTTTTCTGGACTCTCCTACACATTTCCTTCACTGATACCATGCTGTCCTTGGTCTTGCCCTATCCTGCCCACACACATCTGCAAACCCATGTTGTTTATGTTAAACTCTTGTTTCCAAGGGGAGAGACAATTAATTCACACTCTATTTTTTATAAATCTCTTCTAAAAGTTACTATTATGTATCCTCTTTCTAGTGCCCTCTTGGAGGAAAAGAGTATTTGTTTGTTCTTTTTTCTCTCATTTTATTTATTTATTTATTTGAGATGAAGTCTCACTTGGTCACCCTGGCTGGAGTGCAGTGGCACAATCTCAGCTCACTGCAACCTACACCTCCCGGGCTTAAATGGTCCTCCCACTTCAGCCTCCCAAGTAGCTGGGACCACAGGTGTGCACCACCATACCTGGCTAATATTTTATATTTTTGGTAGAGACAGGGTTTCACCATGTGGCCCAGGCTGATCTCGAACTCCTGAGCTCAAGTGATCCATCTGCCTTGGCCTCCCAAAATGCTGGGATTAGAGGTGTGAGCCAGCATAACTCTTTATTTTATGTATCGATTATTTTTCTTTTCCAAATTTTATTTTAGCTTCAGGGGTACAGATGCAGGTTTTTACAAAGATATATAGTGTGATGCTAAGGTATGGGGTGTGACTGGTAGTGAGCAGAGTATCCAATAGGCAGTTTTTCAGCCCTTGCCCCAATCCGTCTCTCTCTGCTGTAGCAGTCCCCAGGGTCTATTGCTCCCATATTTATGTCCCCAATGTTTAGTTCCCACTTACAAGTGGGAACATGTAGTATTTGGTTTTCTGTTTCTAGGTTAGTTCACTTAGCATAATGGCCTCCAGCTACATCCATGTTGCTTCATAGGACATAATTCTGTTCTTTTTTATGGCTACCTAGTATTCCATGGTATTTGTGACCATATTTTCTTTAACCAGTCTACCGTTGATGGGCACCTGAGTTGATTCTCTGTTGTCCCTGCATTGATTAATGAGTCTACTCTTCACTCAGTACCTCTGGCAGGAGCTTGGGAGCCTCTCTATCTTTATGCCCCCAACTCATGCCTTACTACTTTATGTTCATAGACTTCAGACATGCCTCAACTGCAGCACTCTCTCTCCATCTCCACCACCACTGTTTCAGACCTACCTGAGCTCCTGCAGTGGCTTAACTATACTCTCCATGTTCATTCTTTCTCCCCAGCCCATTCTCCACAGCTTCACCATCACTGACATTCTAAAAGCAATCCTCCTTATATGCCAGCCCTAAAGCTTTGCTTTTCAAAGTGATTTCCACCTGAGCATTTGTTAGAATGGAAATGTTTAGGCTCCACTCATTCTTATTGAGTCTGAAATTTTGAGAATGGGGCTCAGCAACCTTCAGTTTAACAAGTCTGCCAGGTGATAACAATATGCACTACAGTTTAAGACCTACTGGTCAGCCCGAAAAGATCAAGTGCCTTCTTCAACTGGACCAAACCTGCATTTCTATCCTTAGCACTGCTGTTCCCTCCTTCACTTCCCTCTGCTTCTGCCATGCCAGAAGGCCCACTGTGCTCACATCCTCCAGGTTCTTGGTTCTCTCCACATCTCTACGTGGACAGTTTTTGGTGGTGAAACATCTTTTCTACCTTCTGTTTGCCTAAGTTTATGTGTCAATATTTCTGTGAAAATTTTCCACTCTCCAGTGTGTACTTTTTACATAGCTCTCTCAGCACCTCCTACTCCAATGAGAACAGGGGTCAGTGCTGTGATCTTCCCTCTATAAAGGGTCCAAATGGAGAAAGACAGTGTAATGGTTAAAGGAAGGGGCTACGGTACAGACCTGAACTCTAGCTATGTCTCTCAAGAACTGTGTTTCTTGGCTTCTCTAAACCTCAGCTTCCTCATCTTTAAAATGAGGGCAATAATAAATGCCTCAAAAGTTTGCTTCAAAGTAAATGAGATAATTTATATGAGGCACAGAACAGAAAAGATCTTCTATGCCTTTAAAAATATTTTATTATGTAATACTTGATACAGAAGAACCCATATATTATTAATAATTAGATTATATGGCATACCAATTAAACAAATCCTCTTGAGTCTATGACCCAACAAGAGAATTTAGTGTAAGCATTAAGATTGATGCTCCCAGTGTCTCCTTCCATTCCCATCTTCTTCACTTTCACCCAGAATAACTATTCTGAAATGTAATATTTTCCTTCTCTTCCCTTTCAAAATGTCGTTTTAACATATGCACATGTTAGTCTGTTCTCATACTGCTAATAAAGACGTACCAGAGACTGGGTGATTTATAAAGGAAAGAGTTTGATGGACTCACAGTTCCACGTGGTTAGCGAGTTCACAATCATGGTGGAAGGCAGAAAAGAAGCAAAGTCATGTCTTACATGGCAGCAGACAAAAACAAAGAGTTTGTGCAGGGAAACTCTCCCTTATAAAGCCATCAGATATCATGAGATTTACTCACTGTCACGAGAACAGCACAGGAAAAACCTGTCCCCATGATTCAATTACCTCCCACCAGGTACCTCCCTCGACACATGGGAATTATGGGAGCCACAATTCAAGATGAGATTTGGGTGGGGACACACCTAAACCACATCATTGCATAGTGTTTTGTTTTATACTCATTTGAGTTTTATAAAAATAGTGTCCTAGTGTTCCTA